>NC_000003.12:65464545-65767575 GCF_000001405.40 Homo sapiens
TTGGAGATTTTCCTACTGTATCTGACATTAATATGTCAACTCTTGCTTCTTTCGATTAACATTTACAAGATATATTTTTCCATCCTTTACTTTCAACATACCTATATTGCTACATTTGAAATCATGCGTCATAGATAGCACACAATTAGGTCATGCTTTTTAATTCACTTTGCCATTCCCCATCGTTAAAGTGCTGTATTTAGTTCACTTTATTAAATGTAGTTATTGATATGTTAGGGCTTAAGTCTTCCATTTTGTTTGTAATTTTCTTTTTGTTCTGTTTTTCTTTCCTCTGTTTTATTTTTCTGGCCTTTCTGTGGGTTACATGAATATTTTAGAATTCTGTTTTTATATATCTACAGTACTGTTGAGTATATCTCCTTTGTATAGCTTTTAAGTGGCTGCTTTAGGTACTACATTACATATATATGCACACATTTTATATATATATATATATAATCTATAAATATATTTTATATATCTTATAGTCTACTGGCATTATCATTTTACCGCTTTGACTGAAGTAGATAAACCTTATCTCCATTGATATTCTTTTACCCTCCCTCACTTATAATGAATTACCTTAAATATTCTCTCTACACACATTTAGAAACATTAAACAGTACTATTATTGCTTCAACACTCAAACCTAATTTGGAAAATTTAAAGAGATGCCAATTATATCTCAATAAAAATGGGAAAAAAGAAAACTCAAAAGATGAAGAAAAGTATTTTATTTATCTATAGTTTTACTTTCTCCATTCTTCTCTTTTCCTCATTGTTTTTGTTGGTTGTTTTTTTTTTTAGAATTTTGGTATTGTTTTAGAATTCTCTTTTTGTTTAGAGAACATCCATTGGCCATTTATTGAGAGTAGGCCTGCTGGCAGCAAATTTTCTTAGTTTTCTTTCGTCTAAGAATATTTTCATTTTCCCTTGATTCCTAAAGGTTATTTTCACTGGATGTAGAATTTTGGGTTAATTCTTCTTTTCTTTCAGCACTAGAAAAATGCTATGCCACTTCCTTTCGGCCTTTGTTGTTTCTGATGACAAATATGCTGTCATTTTACTTGTTTCACTAACATACATAGGGTGTCATTTCTCATCGCTTTCAACCTTTTTCTGGTTTTAGTTTTCAAAAATTTGACTATGAATGTGTCTTGCTGTAGTTTTCTTTGGATTCAGCCAGCTTATTGAATCTGTAGGTTTATTTCTTTTGCCAAATTCAGAAAATTTTCAACCATTAGTTCTTCAAGTACTTTTCTTTTCAGTCCTACCCACTTTCTATTCCCCTGGGACTCCAATGAAATAAATGTTAGATCTTTTGTTACTGTTCCAAATGCCCCTGAAGCTCTGTTTGTTGGTTGGTTGGTTTTCTTCCCCCAGTTGATTTTCTCTCTATTGTTCTTATTGGGTAATTTCTATTTTCAGGTCCACTGATTCTCTCCTCTCCCCACTCTCTTCTGCTGTTGAATCCATCTACTAAGCTTTTTGTTTTGGCTACTGTATTTTTCAGTTGAAAATTTTCTACTTTTTTTAAATCATCTATGGCTTTGCTGAGACTTTCTATTTTTGGCTGAAACATTCTAATTTTCTACTTGGCTTAAGCATGGTATAACTGCTTGCTGAAGTAATTTTATGATGGCTGCGTTAAAATCTGTTAGGTAATTCTAACAGTGCTGTTATCGCTGTGTTAGTATCTACTCATTGCCTTTTTTCACTCATTTTGATATCTTCCTGATTCTTAGGATAATAAGTGATTTTTTTTATTAACATGGATTTTTTGGTATTACATTATAGGGGTCTGGATCTTAAACCTTCTATGGGCTTTTCCTAATATGGCCGAAAAGAGGAAAGGGGGCTATCTGTTACTTTTAGGTGGGGTCTCCATTTGGCTTTTGTTGACACCGGAGAGGGGAATGGGCTCCTTCTTACCGCTGGGTGGGGATAGTGGCTTGAGCTCCCCACCAGGCCTTTGTTGATACCAGCTAGGCTGGGAGGGGTAGGACTATCTCACTATTGCTCCCAAGCTGGCCTCTCTGACTCCACAGGGAGAGGGTGGGCTCTTCACCATTGGATGGGGGTAAAAATCCTGATTCTCCTCTAAACCTCCTCTGACACCACACCAGTGGGGAGGAAGAGGGTGTTTCATTACTGCCAGGTGGGGTGGAAGTCCTGAGTTCCCTCAAGTGGTCTCCACTAAATCTATGTGGAAATAAGGGGAATTTCCTTACTGCCTGGATGCAAAGTGCCAGCTCTACACTTGGCCTTTTCTGACGCCACCCAGCAGGGAGGTTTCAGCTCCTAGTCCCACAGCCTGTCAAGCTTCTACCCTTGGGGCGTAGGACCACAGGTTTTTCTGCACTGTTGCTGGAGTAGAATGGTTGTTGGATAAAAGTTTTCTGTCTTGTAGGATGCCCCTTTCCTGATCCTTTGGCTAGAGAGAGCACGCTTTTATCAGGGCTTTATTTGCCTCTATCTGTAGGCATTTCTGGGTTGCTGGCTCTTTAGCTTTAAGTCTGGATAAATGGAGTAAAACAGAAAGGGAACTCACCACCTAGTATTCCTTTGATCCCATGCTCCCTAGCCAGTCTGTCTTATTTGCTCTTCCTTTCAAAGTCTTCTTATGTTTGTTTTCTATACAATGCCAAAGGTTTATAAATCCATGCTTGATTTTTTAATGTTCTTTTAAATTTCTACTATTTCTTCAACTTCCCAAAAACTATAAAACAAATGTGTATATATTTGCATGTGAGTGTACATACACGTACATGCATAAACAAGGTAGATCTGGTTCTAATGCGGTTTAATTTGCTATTCAATGGAAGATATCCTAAAAAGAAGTGTTTCGGAATGAAAAACACATGAAAACAAAGTAACAAGTATATATAATTTAGGCTAAAATATAAATGATATGTATCTAATCACTTAATATATATGAAATTTGATAGTTGCAGCCCAAATCCCATAATTATCATTAGCCACATTTTTGTATAAGTTTTCTACTAAACCTTAGGTAAATGAAACATTGGCTTCACATCAGCTAAAACCTAAGTTATAAAAAGTAGGCAAATCACTACATTCTCTTGTAAGCCAGCCATAGTTTAGGAGGCCAGCATCCTGCTAACCATCAAGATATCCACCTTCCCTTTTTCCAATATATCAAGTCAGTCTTGAACAAAATTACTGGTACATTCTTTTCTAAGAATCTGAGTTTCACAGATTATTCTGTACCAGGAACACCTATTATCCTTCCCTTTTCTCAGCGTAATTCTTCTTTACTAATGTGACATAATTTCGAAGGCAATTTAATGCAAAAGCTAAGTAAAAAATCCTGAGTTTATGGTTGGTATCCATTTTTATAACAATGTTTAAACTCCTCAGAATAACCACAGATAATGATGATGAAAATGGTAACAATAACAATAGTGATCACTAATTACTACTAGCCCAAGAACTTTAGCTTCTCTATCTCCTCTAATTCTTACAACAGTCTGACAAGGTAGGTACAATTCATAATATTCAAGTCCTCTTTTTATATATATGTATAGAAAGCTGAGATGCAAGAAGTAAACTCAAGTTCCTAAGGTCAAATAACTTGTAAATGATGGAAACAACATGACCCTTTAGTTGAGCTCTTAACTAATACACTTCTTGACTCTCAAGAAAAGACTGCTTCTTTTATCCTTATCTTTAAAAAGCATTTGTCATTAACATGAAGACAGAAACATGGGTTGTCCCCTCTCTCTGGCTGGAAAATAGCACAGAAGCTCTATTTCACTTATCTCAGAACTCTTCCCGGGTAGATTCTCAAAGAGGGTATTCTTTTTTTTTTTTTTTTTTTTTTTTTTTTTGAGACAGAGTCTTGCTCTGTTACCCAAGCTGTGCAGTGGTGCAATCTCGGCTCACTGCAACCTCCACCTCCCAGGTTCAAGTGATACTCTTGCCTCAGCCTCTCAAGTGGCTGGGACTATAGGCATGCACCACCATACCTGGCTAATTTTTGTATTTTTAAATAGAGATGGAGTTTCGCCATGTTGGCCAGGCTGGTCTAGAGTTCATGACTTCAGGTGATCTGCCTGCCTTGGCCTCCCAAAATGCTGAGATTACAGGCGTGAGCCACTGCACCCGGCTGTCAAAGAGGGTGTTCTGAGTTCCAAGCCTTTTCTCTAACTCTCATATGTTTAGAAAAATCATACTACCTAATTTTCATTGTTTTTTCTAATTATAAAACATATGCTAAGTATGTCATGCTTGGTGACTCACACCTGTAATCCCAGCGCTTTGGGAGGCTGAGGCAGGAGGATCACTTAAGCCTGGGAGATAGAGGCTGCAGTGAGCTATGATCATGCTACTGCACTCTAGCCCAGGCAATACAGTGAGGCCCCATCTCAGGAAGGGAAACAATAAATAAATAAATAAATAAATAAATAAATAAATAAATAAATGTGTGTATACACACACACACAAAGTATAAAAAATTCACAACGCATATCAATGAAAAATGTGGTTAGAAAGTAAGTTATTTACTTAACTCAAACCCAACTGTTAATAGATACTTCTAGAACTTTCTGTGCCTAGAACTTGATCTACATATTAACAGAAACAAATGCTCACAGAGAATAGATGTAGGATATGTGTGTATACATGTATAATTTGCAAAATTGAGATCCTTCTCATAGTTTTCTGCAATGTCCTCCCCTTCGTTATTGTTGACTTAACAGTAGATCAGTTTCAATCTATACGAGTATAACAGATGAATCTGTGGTATTTTTTTTAAATTTAATCAGCCATTTTCTTTTTCTTTCTCAGTGGTACATTAAAACATGGTGAATCTCAATGATAGGATAATAAAGTCAAAATACTGCATTTAAAAACTGACTACTGTTGGTTAGGAAAACCACATTATCTTAGATTTTCCAGAATGGTTTCAAATGTCGGCTTTTTTTTTTCCTTTTCAGAAAAGCTAGTATTTACATTTTATAAATCTGAAAGACTTTCCTGTCTCTCTGTTCTCAAACCTAATTCATACACCTTGCACCATGGAAAAATATTAACTTGCGCATTACAGACCTAAACACAAAATGTAAAAAATGAAAATATTTACGACTCTGTGTTAGGCAAAGATTTCCTAGCTACTACAGCAAAAGCACAATTGACTAAAAAGAAAACTGATAAATGAGACTTTATCAAAATTAAGATTTTGATGGAGACAATGAACAGAAAAGCCAGACTTAGAGAAAATGCATACAAATCACATATATGATAAAGGAATTATATCCAGAATATATGAAGAAGTCTTAAAACAATAAGGACACTGTAGTTCAATTAAGAAAAAAAAGCAATATATTTATTTTTAATATATTTATTTTTAAATATATTTAAATATTTATAAATATATTTAAATATTTATTAAAATATTTAAATATATAAAAATATATTTATTTTTAATGGTTAAATATGCTCTTTGAATATTATGTCATAATTTCTATATACCATAATTTAGTTGTCTAAACCTTTAGGGAAATGATTAACCTTATGCTTCCTCAAACTGTTGAGAATCGATAAGTTGGTAATAATTAATTACCTTTTTATGCAAAACTTATTAAACCTTATTAAAAAATACCATCAGTGGGTGATCAATCCCTTAAATGTAATTTACATTGGCAACTGCTAGACAGAGGGAAGGAAGGGAAAAGAAAGAGAGAGAGATTTAGGTAGAAATAATGGTATACTTTACTCTATAAAATAGACTTCTCCATTTTCAGTATAGGCCATCTCCCAGTTTTCAGGTAGAGGACCTAAATTATCCTCTGCAGAAAGAGGTAGGTATTGAGGGAACTTCTGAGAAGGGTCCGTGATGGGAGCAGCGATGATGCTACTATTCACAGGTGGTAATGCTGTTTCTTGGAGAGTGTGCTCCTCTTGTTCACCAGAATCGGCTGCTTAATCATGTGAAGAGGTGAGAGAGAGAGAGAGAGAAAAAAAAAAAATGGTATTCAGCAATCATACCCCATACCCGGGAAGTATGCAACTATACACATCTATATTCTTAAATGCTCTTATCCTTTCCTAATTCCTGGCCATTAACTATTACTTCGATTTCATTTAGATGTCTGTGCCTTAATTAGAAAGCATCGAAATGATCAATGAAATTTATTTTACTTAAAAAGAAGGGGGAAAAAATCCCAAGTAATGCATTGCTCACAATCTTGGAAATGTCAAAGAAGAAACCAATTCATGACTCAAACTCTTAAACTAAGAAGGCCATCAAAACACAGATGGATCTGCACCCTCATTCCATAGGTATCATTTGATTTCATTAGTCAGAAGATGTTTGGGCACAAAAAAGTATCCAGGGTGAAAACACAGACACAGTGGCATTACTGTCCACTCTTGTATAAACGATTTTATAAGTTATTTTTATATTTGTATAAATATTTTTGGTAGACACTGGCAAAGATCAAAGAATGGTTAATTAAGCTGAAACGTATACAAAAGTTTAGAATATGGAGAGAGCTATACCAGTGAGTCAGATTGGAACCTCTTTTGAAAAAGTTATGTTCCTGTGAAAACCAAGAGTTACCCCCAGAACAGTATCATGTGGGTGGACTGATATGACTTGAGTCTTAAAAGAAGGCTCGAAATACTTGAGTCTCCTTGCCTTCTTATTAACTAGAAACATCAGGGGTGATGTCATCAAAGTATCCCCGAATGGCATTATTGACATTCTGGTTGAATTTTTATAGAGGCCGATGATATTAAATGTCAATCTCCACAGGGCTTTAAAACTGAATAATCAGGGTATGTAGTGAATTTCTATCTCCCACAGTAATTCTGTAGACATTTCTGATTTAGCAAAAACAGAGTGAAGAATGATAAAAGGCTGTTTTCAAAGCTTTCTCTGATGAGAAGCTCCCAATGACACACATGAGAGTAAAGGTAATCTGAAAGCTGGATGGAAGACATGCCAAGCCTACTAAACTAACACCACCACCACCAATAATCTACCACCCTTGAGGAGGCTGCCTGTAGGTATTCCCAGCCCTGCATCTATTTGCTCTTCTCCTGCTAGCACCACTCAGGTATCCTTGTGGTGCCCCTCCCCACTCCAGGTCCACATGGTCCAGGACGGGACCTACTCCTGGCTCTACATCATACTCCTTGCCAATCAGGAGTATTCTATCATTTTTGTCTTTGTTATTAGGTCAGGAATAGGTACATGATCTAAGGCAAACAAATTTGAATGTCAGACATGGAAGATTTACTGGAACCATGAAGCCAGAGGTGGTCGCTTGAGGCTGGAGCCTGTTTGCTAATAGGTTCTCATGCTGCAGGTGCTGGAGCCATCTTGACAAAGCTTGACATGACCTGCCAGAGAATTAAGTCCACACAGAGGAAAGGAGAGGTGAAAGATGAAGAAAGTCATCTAATATCACTGACTGAGCCTCTGATCTCTGATTTCATACTTGAAATCAAGGATGTCCCTCATTTTGTTTGCTTGAACCCCCAAATTCACTTTCCTGCTTAAACCAATTTGAGTTAGTTTTGCAACTTGCACCCAAGAGTGCAGATTAATAGATCAACTATAAGTAAGGGAACAGAAAGGAATTAGGCCAACATAGAAGAAAAATTTAGAAATTACTAATCAATAACAAAATAAATTCAAAACCCGGCAAGAATTAAAGGAGTCACCTTTAATTCTCTAGAAGCCAACAAAGATTCATTTCTGGCATATCTTTGGAAGGTAGACTTTTCACACTTAAGTGCATAAAAGAATCACCTGGAGAGATTGTTAAAATGCATATTTCTGGCTCTGTCCTCCAGGAAACAGGTTTGGGGTAAGGTTCCAAAATGTACACTTTTTAAGTACCCAGGTGATGAATATTCAGGTGGTATAATAACTACATTTTAAAGACAAAGACACTAAGAGTTCTCCCATGAACTAAAAGAAAAAATGATGTAGAAAACCAATTGTTTAAAAAGTTCTAATTTCAGTTGGGAATTACTCTACCTGCTTCTTGGTTTGAACCTGTCATTTTCCAGAATCACCAGGACCTCCAGCTCTTAGGACAGGTGTTGCCCTGCCGCCAATGAGCAGAGAGTGGTGCAGTCTCTGGCTACACACTCCTCCGTGCACCAGTGCCAGGCCAGAGATGCAAATGAGACGTGTAGAGAGTGGGTCTAGGCTGAAGGGAGCTGGGCACTCAGTGCCAGACAGTTTGTGCCCTGGAGGAGAGTGGACTTGGGGTTGCCAAACTTCTGATTTTTCAAGACAAGTTGGAAATCTGTATTTTTATGTAAAATCTCCCAAGTTTTCAATCTTAATTTCTTTAAAAAATAATGCAGTATGACATCAGTGAAAAATGAAAGGTCATGATTACGGACACTGACCCTGGAGCCACACTATCCGAGTTTGAATCCTGGCTTTACCATTTACTGATGTGGGCAAAGTACTTAACCTTGTGTGCCTTCACTTGCTTATCTGGAAAATGGGGACAAAAACAATCTCTACTTCACGGGGTTGTGGGGAGGATTAAATGGATAAGGCGCTTAGAATAGTGTCTAGCACATAGTGAGCCATAGTAGGTAGTTGCCAGCAGCAAAAGTACCTCTATCTTCATCAAAATTATGATTAATTTTGTCTTCAGGCCAGACCTGTCCCCCAGCCTGCAAATACATTACAAATAGGTAGAAGAAGGATAGGTTATAACATCAAACCACAGATTATAGTCTTGTCTGCTTCTAGCTGTGTGGCTTTAACTTTCTGAGCACATATTTCTCGATCTGTAAAATGGGCATAATGTACATGGCATAAGAACAGAATTAACACATGCAAAGTGCCTGGCACCTGGGGCATGCTCAATGGGTGCTTGGGACTGAGACCTCTTATTGCAACTACAACTGTCCAAACTCGGTGACAGCCTTTTCAATTAGGAGGCAGTAAACTGTTAGGATGATAAGGAGAAAGAATAATTTCATTTGAAAATTTTAATTAACCTATTTTAATAGAAACTGGATATAACAGGAAAAGGGTAGTGCCACTACATATGAAATGAGATGCACTCAATTTAACGCTGAGTGTCTACATGTTTACAAAAAAAAAAAAAAAAAAAAAAGTCCTGCCAATGTTCCCAGACAATGCGTGAAGATGGAATATTAGCTCTCTGGGAAAATCTCTTAGTAATTTTAATTTCCTGGAGGAAAAAAAAAAATCCCTTCAGCAACGAGATCTTACTTTAAATTATCCAAGTATTTGTTTTTATTTTATATGCTTTCCATATCTTCTTCTCAGCTCAACAGAATCTGAATCTCATTCTCTGAAAGAAAATGGAAAGTCCAAAAATGAGCTGCTGGCACAGACACACGGCAGACTCAAGAATTCACAGCCTTAGTCATGGTTTTGACTCTGACACATGCTGTGATTTCAAAAAAATCTTTTGTTGGGCATGGTGGCATGTGCCTGTAATCCTAGCTATTTAGGAGGCTGAGGAAGGAGGAGTGCTTGAGCCCAGGAGTTAGACACCAGTCTAGGCAACATAGTGAGACCACATATCTACAAAAAATTAAAAATTAGCCGGGTGTAGTGGCACGTGTCCATAGTCTCAGTTACTGGGGAGGCTGAGGTGGGAGAATCACTTTAACCTGGGAGGTTGAAGCTGCAGTGAGCTGTGATTGAGCCACTGCACTCCAGCCTGGGTCACAGAACGAGACCCTGTCTCAAACAAACAAACAAAACCTTTCATTTAATTTACCAAAGATTTAGGAGCACAGCCACCACTTTCTTACTAAAGGTTACCAGTGAATCCAAAGAGGACAGGTAGAATGGAATACTGGAACAAGATGGAATGGGGAGACAGGGAACCTGGTTTTCCCATTGTTCAGTGGTGTAACAGGTACACAGTCCTTCAGGGTTCTCATCTGCAAAACTGGGAAGTTAATATATGGATTGCTTCTCTCTCAAGATTTTCAGGAGGTTTATGGAATACACATAAAAATCGTTTGTAAAACAGAAACGAACATGAATGACATTTTTATTAATAGTAAATCAGAAGCTTCCAAGCTTTTATACACACACACACACACACACATGCACACTCACTCACTCTTGGGGACTTTTCAAGGTGACTTCAACAACATAAGCCAAGTCAAAGAAGATTTCTGAAGCTCGTTTTAAATTATACATGCTTTTAGGTTTATGTGTATCTCCCACTGTGTACAACCAATCATGATCTCTGAGGCTCCATAAAGCTGATGAACTTGATTTAAAACACAAATAGCATACTAGGTGTGCACTCAGGCTGTGGAATCAGACTTTCTGGGTTGCAGTGGCAGCTCTGACCCTCCCTCACCAGTTTTGCGATACTGGACAAGGTATTTGACCTCCCTGGTATATGCATAAAGAACTCAGCAAAGTGCTTGCCATATAGTCCATACTTGAGAAACATTAGCTCTTATAGAAATGATTATCTCTTAACTTTCCAAAGCAATGCTTTATCACTCTCTACCAACAAAAAAGAAGTGTCAGCAACCTAATGTTTAAGAATATCAGGGATTATTGGGAAAAAAAAAAGCCTAGAAACATGATTAAGAAATGTTTTGATGTCTCTCAGAGGTGTTCATGAATGAATCTGTTACTTTTTAGTTGTGGTGATTTGTTACACATTTTCTTTCTTCTTTCTTTTTTTTGAGATGGAGTTTCACTCTGTCACCCAGGCTGGAGTACAATGGTGCAGCCTCGGCTCACTGCAACCTCTGCCTCCGGGGTTCAAGTGATTCTCCTGCCTTGGCCTCCTGAGTAGCTTGTATTACAGGCACCCACCACCATACTCAGCTAATTTTTGTATTTTTAGTAGAGATGGAGTTTTACCATGTTGGCCAGGCTGGTCTTGAACTCCTGACCTCAGGTGATCTGCCCGCCTCAGTTTCCCAAAGTGCTGGGATTACAGGCATGTAATCCTTGTTACACACTTTCTAAGTTGTCTCTAATAAACACAATATTTTTGCAAAAGTCTTTGTTTGTGTATATATCTGTGCTTTGGCCAACAGTCTAACTCTACCTTCATTAAGCCCACATAGGAAGTGTTCTTTCTCAAGGGCTCTTTTTAGGTCAATAATTTGGGCACAATTTGTAGAAGACTGTCCCATTGCTTTGTGTTCACAGTCAGTTCCATGGTGAGCATCTGGGATGACTGCTCACTGTTCAGCTTCTGCCTTAATCAATGACTGCAGAAAGGAGGGGTGGGCTGCCTTCCCAGATGCTTCTGGCCAATAGGCTCCTTGATCTTTTGTCTGCACAGTCCCAACGTTACTTAGGCGTCTTAGTGAGACATACCTTCTTCAAAACACTCAAGCAAAAGGCAGCTAAGATAGAAACAGCAGCAAGTTATTAAAAATATCCTGGTAAATATAATATTTAATGGCTTCATAATATTTCTACATTTTGATATGATGCTCATGCCTTTATCATAGCTGGCCCAAGCAGAAGCCGACACCTCATTATGCCACTGTCACTTTACGTGCAAACTGGCTGGTGGATTCCTATTTAATGTGGTTCAGAACACAAAATGCTTTGATACCACTAGTTTCACATACTTATGGACTGGGTAGTGTTAATTATTTGAAAGATTTAGCATGAGTTAGTGTATGACAGATTGTCAGCTGTCGCAGGTACACTGTTGTAAGTGAGGGGACAGTCAACGTGCTCCATACATTGTGAAGAGGTCCCATCACGTGCATATCTCAAGGCCACTTTTTCCTCAGTGCACCCTATTGGCCTTCTTGGTATCAGACAAGAACGTGAGGAACACAATCAGGTGTCACTTGGCTTTCTGTTTTGTGTGGAAACTAATCATCAGACTGATTTTGGCCATGATGATCTGGGCCCACAAGTTGTTCTAAGATGCCAGGATTTCAAGTGGGGATTTTATGAGGTCAGATTTTCTGAGGCATGGCTTCTAGAGAGAGAGATTGATAGTAGTTAGAAACAGGAAATTGCATCTAGACTTACAGTAAACTACCTCTACTTTGTTCCTTCTTTCTACCAAAAAATCTATTTAATAAATAGAGGACAAATACAGGCACACAAGCTTCTTGGGGACCACCCAATCTGCTTGGCAGAACTGTTTTGCCGCACACTACCCCCAAAGTCTTCTGTTTCTGTGACCACAACTATGGTTTAGGTTATACCATGATTTGCTATTCTTATTTATCAAAATATCAAGGCATTAAAGTATGAGATTTTTTGAAAGAAATGTTAACATGTTTCATGATCTGTTTTCATTTTGGTAAGGGCCACTATAAACAGATGAAAGATTCCTAAATGAATGAAAACAGCTGATTTCAATTAAAACATAGGTACAAGGTGGCAAATTTCTTCTAGATATTACAACTATTGGGCAGGCACTGGCCTAACCCATTCTAATTGAGAAAACAGAAATTTTCATGGAGTCAAATTCATACAGCTAAAAGGGGAAACTCAGACATGATCCAATCCTAGCGAGTCATTTTACATATGGATGAGTTAGGCATAATGTTTCTAAAAAGACAACTACCAAGAGCCAAGCCAGGGTAACAAACAAATCTCCTCTGTCTTTACCTAACACTTCTTGCACAGATGTTTGGCTATCCTACTGCTATGACAATAAACTCATCCAAAAAATTTTATTTCCATTTGATAAATTTTAGTCCTCTGAGCTTAGCTAATAAATTTTAAAAAACCTAAGTGAGGCCCATACAGGTTGCAAACAGCATTCATAAATAACAAACTTTTCCTAAATATTCTGTTAGAGTTGGTAGCACAGGGGAAAACAGTCCACTCATCTCCACCTTCATTGGAGCTGATGCTAATCAAACAATGACCAAAGTATAATAATGTGAGAAAAGGCCACTATGGGAGAGGATAATCTCATATGTTGAAAACGGATAACTTATTCATGGCTATAACTCTAAAATATTAAAGGCAATATTTAAGTACAATAACAACAGAAGAAACAAGGTGTTCGTCTAATCCACAACACTGTAGACTGAAGTTACTCCTATCTTACTCAGCTGTTACATTTGGAGTTACTATGTAAGGTCAAATCTTCATATAGTAAAAAATATTCTTGAGCTCTTCTGGGTCACTGCACTAACCCAAGGAACACGCAACATTATTATTATTATTATTATTTTTTTTTTTTTATTTATATTTTTTGAGACAGAGTCTTGTTCTGTCACCCACACTAGAGTGCAGTG
Source organism: Homo sapiens (assembly GCF_000001405.40). NCBI lineage: Eukaryota > Metazoa > Chordata > Mammalia > Primates > Hominidae > Homo > Homo sapiens. The sequence continues at coordinate 65,477,779 of NC_000003.12, forward strand.
GTGCAATCTCGGCTCACTGCAATCTTTGCCCTTCAGGGAACACACATCATACCCTGCAAATGGTACCCCCTGGAGTTGTGCAGTACTCAGCCTGTATGGCCTTACCCAAAGGCCTTGTCCTTGAAAATCCCTTCATAAAATACAACATACCTAAGCTCGGAGGTAGACAGCCCTGAATATAGATAAAATATATATAATATAGTCAGTAATACATAGGCTATATAATATAGAATGCATATATAGATATAATGTTAGAATTTTACTTTTCCATCTTTCTCCCTTTTAAGGCATATAACAATTTTGCGTAAGTTAACTGAACACATAATATCCTTCCATTATATCTCTGCTTTCAAAGATATAAGAGGATGCTGCTGGCCTTCTATACAGCATCAACTGACATTAAACTGATAAAACACATTCTCATATTTTGCTTCATAGCAACCAGCCATAATGATAGAGATGCTGCAAGTTACCCCCCCCAAAAAAAATCAATGAACAAAATACAGATATTTATATACATATATCATTTTGAAGAGAAAGAAACCATGCTGATTTCTCGTTTGCCTTCTTCATACATTCACCCCCAGCTCCTTTAAGGTATTCTGATGAAGTTAAAATATTCTTGTAAAGGGGCATGAAAAGAAGACCAGGGAAAGGACCATCTCTTCTGCAAGCACTGTGTGGTCCAAGTTTGAATTTTGGCGACTCTACAAAATCCCTCCTGAGAACAGCATCCTTTTCAAAACTCTATGCAAAAGCCTCCTCGTCATCCCTTCCCCAGGTCCATTGAGGGCAACATGATCTGACCTTTACCTGTAAAGCTGCTGTTCATTTCAGGAACGTCATCCTCCTCCTCATTCTCCGCGTGGACTATGCCAGCATTTTGCATATCATTGTAGGACTTGGTTCGCTTCGGGGTCGACTGCTTAGAGCCAGACTGAAGGCTGTGCAAGGCATCCGTCGTGATCACTTTCCCACTGACTGGCTGGCTAGGAGGCTTGGGTGTCCCATAATAGTTTCCTAGGTGATGGAGAGACACATTTGCATGTTTCAAAAGGAATACTTTGTGTTTTTTTTTAAGACTTCACATCCAAATCTCTAGGCACATTAAAAAAAAAATTAAACTAGAAAACCAGAACAAACTGTATTTTATTTCTGGAGTGGGTTAGAAGAGATATCTTTCCTATCCAGCTAGACACAGTAATTTCAGATGGGAAGAGGAAAGCTGTATTGTTTTAGTGCAAACAACCTACTAGGGCTAAAAACAAAGGAGGCTATGCTGAATAGTAAACCTTCCTCCTCATTACATTTGAATATCAATTGGTCATCTTTTTACATATATGCACCAGCATAATGCTGAATCCAATTTAGAGCAAGCCTCACAGAAGATTAAAAAATTCATTACTGCCGGCATCCTTACAGGCCTAAAAAGTTGAGGTCACTTTCCCTTAATAAGGGGACTCGTCAAGAGGGAACCAGGGCAATATTTAAAAAGGAGGACAGTAAACCCCACGTGGCGCCTCTTTAGCTGAATGGCAGGCTTGACTCTCAGAGTCATGCGGGGTAGGAAAAAACCCTTGCCAAGCTTTAACAGAAAACCCTGTGTCAATGGTGGCACCCAGTATGGGTCACTCTTCCAGTAGTGGCCCATCTTCACTTTCAGCCACTCTTTCCCAGTTTGATTTAGGTCCCACTATAGTGTGCTATGTGACTCTCACTTGTACATAAATAGATTTTTACATTTTAATTTTTTTATTTTAATAGATACATATATTTTTAATTTGCCATAGAGAAATCTCACTGGTAAGTTATGATACCAATATAAAGTTTGCCTTTAGAATTTAAGAAAAAAAGCAATACTTTAAAAAATTGACTTATTTTTCACTTAAAGTTTAAAAAGACAGTTTTATATAATAAGAAATTAATCAGCTGAATACATAATAGGGATGGTAGTAATAAGAGTTTCCTTTTGAAAAGTTAAAAAGTAAGCTATTTTTTTAAAGTTATTTTAAAGATAACATTAAATAAATAATACATGTTCTCATATGAACAAAATCACAAAGGGTGGTTCATCAAGATCAAAGTTTGAAAAACACAGTTGATAATCAATAATATTCAGCGGCTACATAATAAAAGACATCAACCTTAGAATGCCATCGATCCATTTACCACTTCACATCTTTTAGAGTAAGGCCAGGAAGACAGGAAATGATTCTGAGATGCTGGATCAATCCTAACTAATGTTTGTAATTCTATGCTTAGTAAAACAGAATTTGTAAATAATAATAAATCCTGTACACACTGTATCTTCCTAAGGATCCAACCCCATTGTCTAACCTCAGTACATAGTTACATAACAAACACATTTTATTACACAAGCACCAAAAAAAAAAAAAACACAAAAAACCACAAAAGGAGACGGTAATAGCCTGGTCTCCGTGAGACATACAGATAATAAAGAATTTGCTTCTCAGCAGGGTACAGTGGATCATGCCTCTAATACCAGCACATTGGGAGGCTGAGGCGGGCTAACCACATGAGCTCAGAAGTTCAAGACCAGCCTGGGCAACATGGTAAAATCCTGTCTCTAAAAAATATACAAAAATTAGCCAGGCTTGGTGGTACTCTCCTGTAGTCCCAGCTACTTGGGGGTGCTGAAGAGGGAAGGATTTCTTAAGCCTGGGAAGTCAAGGATACAGTAAGCAGAGATCGTGGTACTGCACTCCAGCCTGGGTGAAAGAACTAGATCCTATCTCAAAAAAAAAAAAATTGCTTCTATCAGGCTTTATTCTTATAAATAAGGTTTCTTTTTTTTTTTTTTTTTTGAGATGGAGTCTTGCTGCATCACCCAGGCTGGAGTGCAATGGCACGATCTCGGCTCACTGCAACCTTCACCTCCCAGGTTCAAGCGATTCTCCAGTCTCAGCCTCCCAAGTAGCTGGAACTATAGGCATGCACCACCACGCCTGGCTAACTTTTTTGTATTTTTAGTAGAGACGGGATTTCACCATGTTGGCCAGGTTGGTCTGGAACTCCTGACCTGAGGTGATCCACCTGCCTCAGCCTCCCAAAATGCTGGGATTACAGGCATGAGCCACCATGCCTGGCCAATAAGGTTTCTTTTTTAAGATAAAAAGTTTTAAAATTTTTTAAAATGTTTTTTGAATCATCAAAATTTATAGAGATACACACCCACTTTCTTTGAGAGGAGTGTAATAGTCTGTATCAGCAGGAAAACTCAACATACACATTTTTTTAAATGCAGTACATGAAAGAGCATCACGTTCAAATTTGAAGGGTGCCAGGTAGAAACCTGATACGCACATTCTGGTGGCTTATACTCAACTCAATCATTCAAGTGTTTTCATAGGAAGTAATCTATCCTTATCTTCAAAAATCTTCTTTCAGGTTTCCAACTTACAGGCGCTAGAATTGAGTCGAATCAGCTTGAAGAAAGGCATTCCACATGTGTCTTTAGGGGCTAACACTTGAGCAAAGAAGAAATTAGCACGTGTCAAACAAGAAATGCACTTAATCTTGCATTTCTACAGTGGTTGTATCAAAGGATGTCTCATGCCTTCATTGAAGGTGTAAGTAACTAGGCCAAACTGTTAACTTTCTCATTAACTGAAGACTCTTTAGTGAAGTTTAGGAAAGTATGATGGTTAACTATTTTAAAAATAATCTGCATAGTGAGAAAAAAAGGAGAGAGACAAAGCTCTAATGAATTTAATTTTCATTCCTTAATCATTATTATATCACGACATCATGTACATTTTCAAGTTAGATGTTAAATTAAGGCCAATGTCTATAAATAAGAAACTTCTACTGAAAGATGTGGAACCCCTCCCTCGTAATTTTTATATGCATAATTTCCTAACCATATCACTCAGTTTCAGTGCCATTAAACTGAAGTAGCATTCATAAAATTATTAATCATTTAAAATCAATGAAAACTTCAACATCTGCATTTATGGCAGAAATAATAAGTGCTTGGAAAATAAAAGTTCCACTTAACTTTGACAAATATGTGTGGATTTTCCATTAGGTACCTACCCTCACTTTTCAAGTTCAAAATCTTTCTTAAGTTAATAAATGATTAGCAGATTTGTTAATGCAATTACAAACAACCCAAAACAATCCACTTGTTCACAATGGTTTCCTGTTTCTGAAAATTAGTTTAACATTGAATGGAGGCAGATAAAGTAGATAATATTAGATTGAACCATATGAAATTGCTGTTGTAGAAGATATAAACTGTCAAACATAAGCAATTTCACTGGCTTTAATCTAATGAGTGGCCCATGAGCAATACTGCAGAGCCTTGGCACACCATATCATGGGGTAAAAGGCTTGGAAGAGACAGCTCAGAGTTGAAAGCCCACTACTAACTAACTGGCTGTGTGACTCTGGGCCAGTCTTTGTCCGCCTTTAACTTGGGATTCTAAGAGAACCTAGTTTACACCTAGAATAGCTGTTAGGAAGACAAAATGAGACGGTCTGCCTTTAACCTATGCTGAAGTCTGCCACTATGGTGAGGGTAGATAAATGCTACCTAAAGTTGCTATCACATGTTTTCAGTCTTTAAAATGACACCCATACTACATTGTTTTGAGGATCAAAGAGATCATGTATGCAAAGTGCTGCACATGGTAACTGAGCACTAAGCAAGCAAACCTGTCAATAACCAAATAACCAAGTCTTCTAACACTCAGTCTCTCTAGTACTTTCTCTGTGAAATGGGAATGGTAGCACCAGCTGTAGCAACCTCATAGGATTATTGTGAAAATTAACTAATGCAGAGTTTTCAAAGGTACTCTGTAAACTATAAGGTGTTAAATATGAGATAGTGTTATAATTATCCAAATCTCTCCACTATTTCTTATTTCCCGTACTGAAACCTACAACCTTTACAGAAAAGATTCTGTCTAGTGGTTTTCTAACTGCAGAGTGTTCAAACTTTCATACGCCACTGTTTCAAAATAATTTGGATTAGTGACCAACATTTAAAATTAGAAAGCTTCTAGTTAAGTCTGGATTCTCAATGCTGTTTGACAAACTGTAAAGTCTGGTTCCAGGGACTCCATCTCTTATAGAGGATGTTGAAAAGCAAGTATGTGTCTAAAGCCAATTCACATGAACATACTAAATCAAGGATTTCTGCAGAGAAATTTTTGCTCCTCCTCTTGGTTTTGCCTGACCCTTGACAGACAAAGATCTTGGACCCCATCTAGAACAGTGCCCTCAGGCTGCTGCAATGCAAGGGCATAGGCAGATACAGGGGCATGAGCAGAGGCATGAGTAGATGTAAAAAAACCTTAAACTTCAAAAAGTCTTCAATAATTCACAGATTAGCCTTTGAGTGAATTGATTTTTGGAGAGCTTGCTTTCGGCCCTGGGCTTTTGGACAAAAACTCTGGCTGTCTTATTTCAACTCTGGCTCTCTTATTCTGCTGTGAACTGCCCTTACCGTGCAGCAATGGGCAGGATGGGTCATGCTTGCTCCAGTTTGCCACAGTCACCAGTGGTCTTCTTTGCCTCTATGCACCCTCTTACCTGACCTGTCTGGCCCCTCAGGCATTTGAGTTCATGACTCTAACCTTCCAGAAAGTATTCCACCTTTGCAATGGTTTGCACTCTCATCACAATCAAGCAAAGTCTAGCCACAGCAGAAACACAAACCTTACAAAGTCTAGCCATGTAGAAACACAAACCTTACAGACAGTATGCGCGACTTAACAGTATTAAATAAAAATCATCTGAAAAATTGTAAGTGATTAAAAACTTAATTGGGGCTATCACTTGGCAGGCTGCACAGTGTCTAGGAGCCGTGAGGCTGATTATCCCACAGGCTCTGCGTTATCCAACACACGTTTCCTGCAGTGGCTGGGCTCCCTCCCAAGTGGAAACTTGTTCTCTCTGCTGCTATTTTCAGAACTGGTTCTACAACAAATCTCAACAGGGAGGGTAGCCAGGGAGGAAAGCGGAGGGCAAAGGAGGACTTAAGAGGAAGCCACTGCTGGCCTTAATTAACAAGCAAAATCTCTGGCCAGGACAAAGCCAAAGAAAATATTTTTCTGACACACATTTAAAAATTAATAGGCACTGCAAATCAATTTTTAGGGCTTTATAAAATATTTAAGGAGGATTGTAACCCTGGAATTTAAGCTAGGATGAATCAAATCTATATGGCTTTCAAATTATACAAATTTACTATTCATTCATTCATTTCCTTACAGAAAACCTTTTTAATGCCAGGCATGGGAAATACAAAGTAAAAATTGGACTGAAACACGATCTTCACAACCATTCTATATGGCATACATCAGTTTTGTCAAGCTTCAATGTGCAAACAATTAAATTACATTAAGTAATGATCAGGGTGGGCCTGAGATCCATGGATCACACTGTTTGTGTAGCAAAGCCATTTGGGACAGAGAAAATCATTCCTCTTTTGCAGATGACAAACATAAAGGCCCAAAGTGGCAGAAACGCCTGCCATGGAGTTACATGGCTGGTCCAAGGTAAATGGGGGTGGGAATTGGGGGTACTTGTCTGTCTTCTTCCTATGAGACAAGCTTTTGCAAATAAGCCTGAGAACAGGATGGTAGTGACCACCTATGGCTGGGAATCTACAGCATGCATTTTCAACGGGGCAATATCACCCCCAAGGGGGCAAAAATTGTTTTCTTTTTTGAGGGGGAGAGAGGTACAAAAACCTTACTCTCTTTATGTATAGTGCAAATATGTATAGAGTACATGAATACATGGACATCCAGCATATCTGATTTTGCCTTGGCCTCACGGTCCTGAGTGGTCTGCCCCATGCCCACTCTCCAAGCACTTGTCCTGATTGCCTTCACCTTGTTCTTTTCACTCTGACCTCACTGGTTGCCTTTCAGCCCCCAGCATGTAAACTGTGCCCCCTTCCCCCATCTCACAGCTCTTGCACCCACTCCTCCCTCTGCTCCTCACCCTGTTACTACCTGCTCATCCTCAGCAACAGTATCTCTGACCCCACAGACTAGATCAAAGCTGTCCTTATCAGTTCTTATATGTTCTCAAGGAACCACATACCTCCCCTTCCTAATGCCCTTTATTGTATATAGCAGACTGTTTAATTAATCAGTACCTGTCTTCACCTCTAGACTATAAACTCAAAGAGGCCAGGAGCCACATCTGATTTTGTGTACCACTGTGTTCTCAGGCCTGACGCAGTGCCAGGCACATACCATTACCCGGTAATTCACTGCAGAATGAGTAAATGAATAAAGGCAGATAGTGCACATGAATTCCAGCCTGGGATCCTCCTAAAAACCTGTATTGTGGATCCAGTTTTTAATAGCATGACTCACAACACTTTCTTTCCAGTCGGTCAATTACATTTGAATTACCAAGATCTGCATCACTTCACTTTGCTACTTGCTTGCTCAGCACATGATAGTTCCTTCATAAAACTGCAATACTTTCTTTTTACTCTTCCTTTTCCTACCTGCCCCACCCTACAAAAATAGGATGTTCATGCACAGAAGGACAATAAACCACTGTTCTATAATTAGCAGTTTGTTCTTGCCAGTGCCATTTGGTTTCTAATACAAGACCAAACAGGAGAACATAAGAGTTTTACGACCCTGAGTGAGGTAAGGGACCTCTCTCTCTTCAGCCTCAGTTCACACAGTATAAAGACAAAAATCATGGCAACCTAATAGGTTTTTGTCAAGATTAAATTAGATAATGTGTATAAAGCACCCAGCACTGTGCTTGACACAATGTTAGCCTATAATCAACTCTGCCAGTCTCCAATCAGGCCTGATGTTGTAGATAGATAATAGGGTTAATGTGTAAAAGAGTGTATTATCACAACACATATTCAAAGAACAACATTTTTTAAAGTTACCTTTATCGTGCACATATTAAGTGTCACTACGCATATATTCACTTACTCTAATCTTTATAAACAATCTTAGAGAAAAAAAGGCATCAATATTCCCATTTTCACATAAAGAAACTGATATTTACACAAGTCAAAGATGATGACTGGCATTTAAATACAGATTAGTCTGTCTCTGACATCTACACTTTTAACTCCAGGAATATTTGGGGATCTCTAAGCAGGGAATTAAAGAAAACTTCGCCAGCTCCCCCCATCTTCATAAGCAGAAGAACAGCCAATTATAGCACAGATTTCATTTGGTCACTTTCATTATCAACAGAGAACATTCTACGACAGAGTTTGCCAACAGAGCTCATCACAACAGACTGCTTCTAAGGCCTGCCAAAGAACAGGACTCTAGACAGTCTCGCTTTCTTTAACCAGAAACAAGAACTCTCTTCACCCCTATTTTATCTCTGTGTCCCCAAAAATTATACCATTGGCAGCTGCCTTTTTGCAGACCTTCTAGGAAGCAAAACAATAACATTATTGAATGCTGACATCCTCTTCCTAATTAACATGCAGAAATATGCAACCCATAACTCCAATTTGAAATGTCACCCTGGCACTGCACTTCTATGCTGAAGGAAAACCTTTGCAATGCTCAAAGTGTATAATCAGCCTCTTCTACCCAGAGGCATTTGTAAAACAGCCATGTCTGGATCCCCACCCTCCACTGAATAGTTCATCCCTTGTAAACTCTCTCCTAGAGAAGTCCCAAGGGCTGGCTGAGGCAGTGACCTGTCTTGCAGAGCAAAAATGTCAACAGAAAAAAAAAGAAAAGCAAGGGAAAAGGGAAATGGTTCAGCTGATTTATTTTAAGCACCATATCAAATAAATAAGCTCAGTGCCACAATTAGGAAGTTGGGCCAAGTTGGAAAGATGTGCTTATTCTTGTCTTCTTTACCTTGCTTTGATGCCAATTCTGTTCAGTGACAGAATGAGGAGCTGGTTCAAATTGTAAAGCAGAGATCAATGACAAACTCTACTAATAACTTCTATGCCTTGTGAGGGATGATAATCAGATTCTTTACATCGCCAGGAAGGGGCTCTACTCTGTTGGGAGTATAATGCTACTCTCAGCATTACAGCTGTCGGTGGATAGAAAGTTTCAGGATGGAGTCCCTGCCCGGCAAACCTACCCCAATTATAGTATTTTTTATTTTCACAAATGGTACCACTATCTATCCAGTAATAGAAGACAGAAACTAGGAGTTATCTTAGGAGGATTGTCATCATCTGTCTTTTCTACCTCGTTCTCACAATAACCAATACATTAACAAATTCAGCTTTTCACATAAATATCTCCAGATTCAGCTGACTATTTACCACCACCATCACCAACGTGGTTCAAAGCCAACTCCAACTGTGGTTGCCAGATGAAATGCAAGACAGGGTGTTCCGCGTTTTTATTTGCTAAATCCAGCAACCTAACTCCAGCTCAACCATCAGATCTCACTTCAATTACTACTTCTACAGAGGTACTTTTTCTTGATTCCACAGACATCCACTCTCCCTGTCTTATGGTCTCCTTTAAAGACCTTCGCACACTTACAATTGGATATTCGTTTATTTAAATAAAGTGTCTTGTTCACTAGACATTTAAGACCCATAAAGACAGTGACCACAACCATATCTGCTTTTGTTCAGCATTTTATCTTTAATGAATAAATGAATGAACTCACAAACTAGTAACTGAGGCTACAAAAGAAGCATTACTTTTCAGGCAAAGGGAAATAAAAGCATCCCAGTCCTGCAACATTTGGCCAGGCTATGTCCCTAACTCCCTGAAGTATCTTAAAGCAAGCTCTCTCTGGATTTCAGTTCTATCATCTGAAGAAACTAACTTTACTGCATTTCCAGCTGTAAAGTCCTACAACCGACCAATGTAAATCAAGCAAATATTGGGCCTGAAAGAGAATTCTGAAGGTTACTGGGCCTTGAGGCTTCACTGGTTCACTCTATTTGTCTGCCATCTTGCCTGTCATAGAATGTATCCACAAAAGAAGATCACCACTCCTCTGCATAACATCCTCTTTGGGAAGATTCAACACGATGATTCTTTTTTAAAGGAGCTTAACTCTTAAGACCTGCTTTGCTTTGTGAAGTCAGCTGGTGAGGACAGAGATCTTGTTGAGCAGGTCCTCAACCTTCCTTTCAGAAGCTTTTATTCTAAAACTGAAGCCACCAGCCATGTGTGGCTACTTAAATTTAAATGAGTTTATGTTGAATTAAAGTTAATTTAAAACTTGGTTTCTCAATCACAAGAACCACTGGCTGCCATAATGGACAGTACAGAATACTGAACATTCCCAGCATGGAAGGAAGTTCTTACAGGATAGCAGTGGTTCTAAGGGAAACAGGGTGTGCTTGCTTCCCCTCCCTTTCTAGAAGCCATCCTTCTAATCCTCTCTTGGTTCATCATCACATCGTTCTCTGTGGATTCAGGCCCCATGGCCCATGCTGATTACTAAATTCAAACACCATCTCCCAGCCTCTCACCTGACCTAACACAGTCCTCTCATAGCTTCGCCTCCTCTAGGGAGTCTGCCAAAACTAGATGAAGCTTTCTATAAGCTTCTGGAGCGCTGTGTAGTTTCTCTCAAAACACTCATAACTTTTTTTCTTTTTTTTTTGTTTTTTGAGACAGGGTCTCACTTTGTCACCCAGGCTGGAGTGCAGTGGCACAATCTCAGCTCACTGCAACATCTGCCTCTTGGGTTCAAGTGATTCTCCCACCTCAGCCTCCCAAGTAGCTGGGACTATAGGCATGCACCACCAAGCCCAGCTAATTTTTATATTTTTTTTTGGTACAGAGGGGATTTTACCATGTTGGCCAGGCTTGTGTCGAATTCCTGACCTAAAATGATCCGCCTGCCTTGGCCTCCCAAAGTGCTGGGATTATAGGCATGAGCCACTACACCCGGCCTACTCATCACTTTTCTTAAAATTGTTTACATTCATTCATTCATATATTACACAGAGTCTTGCTCCTGTTGCCCAGGCTGGAGTGCAGTGGTGTGATCTTGGCTCACTGCAGCCTCGAACTTCCCAGGATCAGGGGATTCTCCCACCTCAGCTTCCCGAGTAGCTGGGATTACAGGTGCACGCCACCGTGCCCAGCTCATTTTTGTATTTTTTTATAGAGATGGGGTTTTGCCATGTTGCCCAGGCTGGTCGCGAGCTCCTGAGCTCAAGCAATCCTCCCACCTCAGCCTCCCAAAGTGCTGGGATTACAGGTATCCGCCACCACGCCCAGCAAAATTGTTTATGTTTAATCTGCCTCACAAGACTGAGTGTGGGAAGAGTGTAGACTCTGTGGCCAGAGTGCCTGAATCTGAATCCCAGCTCTATCTTTGATTTACCATGTGAACTAAGAAGAGATTACTGGCATTTCTGGGCCTCATACTCCTCTTCTGTAAAATGGACATAAATAGAACCTACCTCATAGGCTTGTTAGGAAGATTAAATGAATTTGTGCATATAATGCACTTTGAAGAGCACCTACTATGTGCCACACAAGCCCTAGCAAAAATAATTAATTAAAAAACATAAGCACCTTCAAAGTCAGGTAGTTTTGGTCTACTGCCCTGTACATCATATCCCTTGCCTCACAAAAAAAGTCTGACCTGAAATAAATACTCAATAAATATTTGTTGAAATAAACTATATATGCATTAAAAGGCTTGCTTTAAAACTGTGCTGCCAGAAACTTACCCTATAGTTATGCTCATAATTGCGTAACAATATACTTGAAGCACTGTTTATAACACGACCACCAAAAACAGAAGGGGGAGGTGAGGCAGGGGACATTTAAAATGTCCATCTGCAGGGGGCTGGTTAAATAAGTTATATATTTATATACAGATAGACAGATAGATACATAGATAGATGTAGAGATATATATATACTCATTCACTGGGACACTATGCAGCATTTATAAAGAATGAGGTGAAACTGTATGCGGTAATGTGGAAAGATCTCCAGGGTATGTTAAGGGCAAACGGCAATAACAGAGTGAAGTAAACGAGATATACATATATGTTGTGTACATATAAGTTTTCTGAATATTTGCACTAGCATCTTTAATAGTGGTTACCTATATGGAAGAGGGGAAACAAGTAGGACTTAGCTAGTTTTAAGGCTTTTGCTGTAGGAACTATTCCATCATGTACACTTATTACTGTTACTTAAACATTTATATATGTCTTCCTTTAAAGAGTGCTTTGTGTTGTTGTGGTAGACTTTTCCTCTCTGGAACCAGCAGAGGTCTGGAGAAAGCAATTTCAGGAGGGGAAAAAAGATGGTGAGTACCTGGGAAGTAAATAAAGACATTTTACTGGCAAATCTGCTGGTTTACTGACTAGTAGAGGGGAAAGGGATCCACTACAGGAGCAATTTTGAACTAGGTGCGTGTAAATACAAAAGCTAATGCTGAAGGAGAGCTTACATGTGTCAGACACTCTGCTAAGCCCTTTCCAATTATTGTCTCATTTAGCCCTACCTCTGAGGAAGCACTATTATTATCCTCATTTTACCAATGGGAAAATGGAGACATGCAGCATTAAGCAACTTGCCGGAGGGCACACAGCTCAATAGCAAAGGGGCTGAGAATCAAACTCAGGCAGTGTGACAGCAGGGCTTGCATGCTTGTTAGTGTCCACCAATAGACAGCAGCCACCATCAGGGGACTTGTCCAGGGGAGGCAAAGACAGTGGAAGTTCTCTAAATGTCTTTCCAGCCCTACTCCGATGAGGGTATATGGCATTTAATAAACATTCCATTTGGCTCTCAGCTTTTAAGAGTCAATATAATATACTCTGGTCAGTTCCAAAAACTTATGAGCCATCTCGGCCAGGCTCGGTGGCTCACGCCTGTAATCCCAGTACTATGGGAGGTCGATGCAGGCGGATCACGAAGTCATGAGATCGAGACCATCCTGGCCAACACGGTGAAACCCTGTCTCTACTAAAATATAAAAACTTAGCCGGGCACAGTGGCATGCACCTGTAGTTCCAGCTACTCAGGAGGCTGAGGCAGGAGAATCGCTTGAACATGGGAGGGGGAGGGTGCAGTGAGCTGAGACTGCGCCACTGCACTCCAGCCTGGGCGACAGAGCGAGACTCTGTCTCAAAAAAAAAAAAAAGAAAAAAGAAAGAAAAATTATGAGCCCTCTCATATGGTAAGGAAATTTCGCTGCTAATAGGCCAAAGGCTGAAGAACGCTGTACAAATGGGTTAGAACTGGAAAAGATTAGTCCTGTGCCTAAGAAAATTCCAATTCCAAAATAACTATGCAACATTCACAAAGGCACCGTTTTCTACAAGACAATCAGACATTTTCTGAAAACCATTCCTCTACTGCTATACACCAGGAAGTTAGCTTCAAGTACTAATGGGTTATTTTCCTTAGCTTCTTAGTTATATCTAGGATATTCTTCGGGTTTTTAGGAAAGAGTGTAGGATCTGAGAGTCACACTGAGCTGGGTTTGGTTCCTTCTCTAGCATTCTAGAACTGGCTGTGCAACTCTGAAATAGTTATTTAATACCACTTGGCTTCAGTGTCCCCATCTAAAAATTCAGTGAAGATAATAGCCGCCTCTGTTGCAATGATAAAATTAAATGAGAAAAAGAACTGACTCCACCTATATATCATTTGTTCCATTAACATCGAATAAAGTGAGTTTACTTTCCATCTTCCAAGTTAAATTGGAGTCTAAATCACAAGTTTTTCCTTTCCGACCCAATCCTCTTTTGCTTTGTACAACCACTCCCACCCCAGCCTCTCCAAAAATGCAAATAGATGTTTTATATATTTGACGACTGAAGCCCCCCAGATGGGCATAATAACTGATTGCAGATGAGGACATTTCTCTCTCTGCTAACCAAAGAGGAGTCACACATGCTCTCCTCTTCACATGTACAACATGTGAGGACAGCATGCTGACAACATGTTGAAGAAGCTCCTTGTACCTTCCCGCAGCCCCCCTCCCTTCCCTCTATACACTCCTAGACCTCGATTACTCTCAGACCCCTGCCCAGCCCACCAGCCACCCAGTCACATCCCAACATGTAGTTTCAGGAAACTAAGCCAACTGATAATTAGCAACACTCAAAAACAAACAAACAAAAATTCCTGATTCATGAGCAGGAATTTGATTAATATACACTGTCTACTGTATATTCACAATTTGGAAAGGAGCAGTATGTACAAAGACAATGCTCCTTCCCGTCTTCTCCAAAGAACATCAAACCAGAAACAGCCATCTCTAAGATTCATGATCATGATATGAGTGTTAGTCACTGTAACAGAAGCAATTATCACATTAAAGCTATAATGTCCCTAATAAAATAATAATCTACTTTGTATTTACCCTTTATGTTTAAGTCTAATCTTTAAAATGCCCCGTGAATGCCTAATAAATCCAAATTTTAAAGAGTTTGTAAAGAGATACACATAATAACTTGACCAAGTTAATAATCTGTCCTAGTTAATAGTATCATTACACCACTTCTGCCTCAAATAATAATAACACTCCAAAAAGTAATCAAGCTATAATACTGTTTTCAGAAAAATGTGACTTTTTTCCACCACATTTGGCTTTGACCCAGCAATGGGATCTGATCCTATGGATATGTTTGCACCTGTATGAAATGATACATCCATGTCATTCGACTCAGCAGTGTTTAGAAATATGAAACATTGAAACTGACTCAAATATTTGTTCAGAGGGAAGTGGTTAAATAAATTACGGTATGCCCATACAAAGGAATTATAATTTTTATAATTATATTTCAAAAAGAAGAAAACCAGAAGTGCTTTATTACTGAATTGCAATGACCTATTAAGACATACTGTTAAACAAAAAGAGCAAGGTCCAAACAGCATGTACTATATACTACCTTTTGGGGAAAACTGGGAAGAAATGGGAATATCCATACAACAGGCATGCACACATGTACATACGCATGTGCACACGCATGTCTGTATTGACATAAACTTCAGAAGGTAATCAGATTATTTATAATATTGAATCCTAAATCAGGCAGGTGGGAGACAGGTATATGAAGATTACTTAGCTAAATATTTTTAAAATAATTTGCTTTCCTGTAATCCCAGCACTTTGGGAGGCCAAGGCGGGCGGATCACGAGGTCAGGAGATCGAGACGATCCTGGCTAACACGGTGAAACCCTGTCTCTACTAAAAATACAAAAAATTAGCCGGGCATGGTGGCAGGCGCCTGTAATCCCAGCTACTCGGGAGGCTGACGCAGGAGAATGGCATGAACCCAGGAGGCAGAGCTTACAGTGAGCCAAGATCGCGCCACTGCACTCCAGCCTGGGCGACAGAGCGAGACTCCGTCTCAAAAAAAAAAAAAAAAAAGTTTGCTTTATGAATCACATAAAAATACATTAAAAACCAATCAGTAGGAAAGTGATATTTTATTTCTTCAAGATTAAAACAACACTACTTATAGGATCACATTTTGTGATTAACCATGATTCTTCCTTCTCTCCTAATACCGCACATGTCCGTATTAAAAACAAAACACACCCACATACTTGAATAGGTAAATTAAAAAAGAAAACTCCTAGAGAAAAACTAAAACTATTTTTAAAGAACTCCACAAAGCCTTATTCCATAGACTTTGTCTATTATTCGTCATATTAAGGTGAACTGAAATCTCCTGTTATTTGTTTAGACCTCCAGATTCCACAAAACATTTTTGCCTGGATGGCTCTGGCTCCTCTCAAGTACCCAGGAGAGAAGCTTTTTATGCTGTCGTACAAGTAACTCACCTTCATAGGTGCCGACTTCCAGAAGAGTCCCACTCTGCTCGAGGTCCAAGAACTCCTTCACAGTCAGAAAGTTATAGTCCACGCCAGGCACTTCTCCTTCTCTGGGAGATCGGGTTGTGCCTGTAGCAGAAAATACAAAGGCACAACAAACCATCAATCAACTAAAACAGGAAGTTCCACATCCAGGTGTAATTAAAATAACCTGTTCAGTAAGAGGGCGTACCTAAGACTCTGCTGCCTCATCTGTCCAGACAGGGACACAGTAAAGGCAACTTCTTTCTAATACAACACAACAGCATTCTCATTTCCACACTCTAGTGCCTGGGACCCCAAATGGGAGAGAGAGAAAACCAAGCACCGCTGGGTAACCTAGAGAGAGTTTTATACCATTTTTGATAATGCACTGAATAAAAAAGGTGAACTGGATTTTATACAGACAACATTCACAGTCAGCAGCTTTTACGACTCCAGTAAATACTAAAAACGTATCCACCTTAAGCTCAGAGCCTAAGGGGTTTGTGTTTTTATCACAGGCCTTGAGATTCTCGTATTCCTCAATACAACCGGCAAGTTCCAAAGCCCTTTAAAGAAAATGACACCTGCTGCATAAACACATCACCAGAGAAATATGATTGCCTGAGATCTGTGGTTGGACATCTCCCAGGGATTAAAATGCTGCTGCTCCTCATGTAATTAATATGTTGGGCAAAAAGAGGCCGTCCATGAATTCTGACTAGGGAGAAAGGACGCTGCATTTGCTAGAAAATTCTCCCCCTGCATTAATCTGGTCATCTTCTCAGTGGCTAACAAATGTAACGCTTCCTCTTATGAAATAAGGCAGAGCATCCAGAGTAAAAAAGTCATCCAGCTCAGGTGCTGGGCTATGGATTTATCATTTTAGCCCAATCTCAGTCAACAAAGTGGAAGCAATGAGCAGAATGTGGTTTACACATAAGTCAAGAAAGGAAAATAAACCAAACAGCAATTATGTACCCTGTATTAGGAGCCTATGTTAAATATTATGAGACGAAAAAAAAGAGCAAAAAATGTGACTTCTGCTGTTACATTCAACAGAGCTCATTTAGCAAGGCATTATTACCTGCGGTGGTGATTTAAGGTCAACGTTTTCCTATATAATAAGCAACGATATTTCCCTATGTCTAGGATCTCTTCGTTGAAATGTAATGCAATTAAATAACCGACTATATGTGCCTAGTGGCGCTGAAGTTCTTAGCACTGTGCAGTCTCTGATCATCTGCCCATGTGAATAACCGCATCCACACCTACACTGGATATTCACAATTTTCATAAGTCAAAAACACTCAACACTTAGTACACACTTTACTCAGGCAAAATGTATTTTTAGTGCACATAATTCTTCTATCTGAAATCTGAATATTTTAAATAGCTGCAAATTGGGCATAGGATGGTTATAGTATAGATGTTTGCTTCTCATAATCAGCATGCTAGAACCTTCAGGTTAAAAAGTCTACTCTTACACTGTTTCCTAATTTGTTCCCGTTTCGTGCCTCCCCTGGCAGGTGATGACAAATCCCTTGAGGTAGTTCACAACTTTTAAATTTACATCTCAAGTGTCAGGCACAGGAAACATAGAGACAGTATCATATACTGTTAAAGAACAGTGGTCTGGAGTGGGAATCCTAGGTTCATGGTCTGCCTCTCCAACCTGTGGTCTTGGACAGGTTCCTTAGTGTCTATTTCTCAGTATCCTTGTTTGCAAAATAGGGATAATAATAGCACCTAATCCATAAGTTTGTTGTGTGTATTGAATGAGATAATCCTTTTTGAGGGCTTTGCTCAATAATTTTTAGTAGACATTATAGTTTATGTTTTTGTTAGAATGAATTGATAGAATCTTACCGTTCAAATCCCAGTATAATAATCTGTTATTATATACATATAAATATATCTCTGTTTATGTATATGTGTGTGTATTCATGGCATTATATATTGTATTTATTCAACAAATATTTACTGAGGCCCCAACACATGCCAGGCACTGGGAAAACACTGGTGAACAAGACAAAGCTCATGCCCTGATGGAATTTATATGTTACTGTGAGACACAGAAAACAAATATGTATATAAATAAATATAGCATATAATATCAGGAGGAAATCATTCTTCTACAGACTGAAAGATTAGAAAGTATCTCAGAGCAACATAGGTTAAAGGTTTAGACAGTGTCTTGGAGGGAGGGAGCAAGGGAGAAGTAGGGAAGCTATATTAGCTAGGTGATGAGGAAGAGCCTGGCTAATAGAAAAGGTGATGGGGAATGCATCCAGGCAGAGGGAAGGGAAAAGGCTTTGATACGGGTGTGATCTGGTGTGTTCAGGGAAGGGCAGAAAGGCCAGCATGGTTGCGGTACAGTGATGAAAAAAGGGCTGGAAACGAAAGCAAGCGGCAAGATTACGTAGGCCATAGAAAACACTTCATATTTTATTCTAAGGATAATGGAATGTCATCCTTAGAATGGTTTTGAGCAAGGGGGTGCGTTGATTTGGTTTTTCTTTTATTTTCCTTTTCAGAGACAGAGTCTCGCTCTATCGCTCAGGCTGGAGTGCACTGGAGGAATCACAGCTCACTATCTCCTTGAACTACTGGGCTCAAGAGATCCTCTCACCTCAGCCTCCTGAGTAGTTAGGACTACAGGCACGTGCCACCACACCCAGCTAATTTTTTTTTTTTTGTACAAATGGGGGGTCTCACTATATTGCCCAGGCTGGTCTCTAACTCCTGGCTTCAAGCAGTCCTCCTACCTTGGCCTCCAAATTACTTGGATTACAGGCATAAGCCACCACACTCAGCTTGGTTTTCCTTTTTAAAGCTCTTTGACTTCAAGGAGAACAAGTTTTCGGAGAGTAGGGCAGGAGGTGGGCAAGAATAGAAGCAGGGGGACCAGTTGGGTGGTTACCATAGTGTCCAGGTGAATGGTAATCAAGATATGGACTAGAATAGGACAGAAGTGATAAGAAGCAGTGAGATTTCTATTACAAACATGAGTA
The DNA here is from genome assembly GCF_000001405.40 of Homo sapiens. NCBI lineage: Eukaryota > Metazoa > Chordata > Mammalia > Primates > Hominidae > Homo > Homo sapiens. The sequence goes on from NC_000003.12 coordinate 65,496,538, forward strand.
TTTTAAAGAGCTACAGCATAGTCCATAGAACAGACATATTAAAAGTAAAACCCATCATCAAGGTATTAAGCGCCACATGCATTAGCTATTTATCCTGATGCTCTCCATGCCACCCACCAATGGAGGACAGAGAGCATCAGGGGGATGGAGATGCACCAGGATAAATAGCTAATGCATGTGGGGCTTAATACAAAGATCAGGTGCAGCAAACCACCATGGCACATGTTTACCTATGTAACAAACCTGCATGTCATAGGTAAGTATCCTAGCACTTAAAATAAAAATAAATTTTAAAAAGTATGTCAGCTCATCACACCATGCTAGGTCTATATTTTGAAGACAGAACTAATAGAACTTGCTGATGGATTGGATGTTGTATGTAAGAAAGACAGAATAAAGACAGAAATACCTATTTTGTGACCTGGGCAAATGGGCTGTGCCATTTGCAGAGATTGAGAAGGCTGAGGGGAAAGGTTTTGGGAAAAGGGAAAATCAAAAGTTCACTTTTGGACATGTTAGGTTTGAAATGCCTAACAGACACCTACGAGCAGAGAGTTGGAGCACAGCTGACCTTAAAAGTCTGAAGGTCAGAGTAGAGGGTGGAATGTAAACTTAATAATAATATTAAGAGTGATCAGTTGATTAGTAAACCAATGGCATTTGAAGGCAAGAGACAGAAAGATAAAATCTACAGAGAGAGTTTAGGGGAAAAAAAGCCAAGAAGTTTGGATTGAACACTAAGAACTTTTAACTTTTCGAAGATGAGAATAAGAGAAAGATCGTCAAAGGAGACTAAGCAGCAGTAGCCAGCAAGATAGGAGCAAAGGAGGAGGGTGTGATGTCTTGGAGCCAAGTGAAAAAGCTGTTCAGCCAGCTACCTCTAAAACACAAACAGTCTACATCACACTGGGAATTCCAGTGCAGTGCAAGAATAGAATCTCTTTGAAACTTGCTGTGAAAGGATCTGTCCTAAATATGTTCTATATGGCAACTCTCATCTTCAGCCTCCATACCAAAGTTCCATTAACTTAATCCATCTTGAAAAAAAATGAGGACAAAATAAAACAAAACAAAAAATCTGTTGAGTTTCATAGTCTTGCCAAACTAGACAATGTTGATTTTTTTCTCCTGCAGCCATCTTTGCCATTCTTTCAATGATGTTTTCAGATCCAATTTGTCAGGTTTACCTTAAAGACAACAATCACCCTGGGGTCTTAATTTCCTGAGAGGATTCAAAATAATCAAGAACGTCAAAAATGCTACATTTCAGCAGAAACATGAAACTAGCAGATCCCATTTTTCCATGTAAATAAATATGCTTAGGATGCCTTAGAGCAGCATGGGAAGGGAGTGGGAAGGCGGGCAAGTCTCCACCCACAAAACGTTCAGGGTTTATTACCCAGACAAAACCTTTCCATGCTCAGGCTAGCAGGAGGTTTCCCAGCTATCCTCTGAGCAGCCCGCCCTGGGTCTGGGCCAACCTGACCAGGCTCTATTCACCGATGTTGTGGAGAAAAGGACCGAGGGAGGGGACCCCGCCTTCTCTTTTCTTGTAGCAGAATGGCAGGCTGCTGGCTGGACACACGCCTGGCAGATGGCATTTCAAAGGGTTTTCAGGAGCCATCTGGGTTGGGTACAATTATTATAAACCATGCTTCTAACAAAGCCAGAAGGGTTACTTCCTGACAGAAGACGAGTCAAACAAATTCTACCATGTTTCTCAGGGACAGCGTACTAATATAAAAAAAAAGAAAAAAAAAAGCGACCAGGCTGACAAACTGGGATTTTCCTTAGCCTACAATACTGCCTTCTCTTTTTCTAGCTAGAAATTGGGCCAACGATATCTTGCAGTTATTAGCTTTAAGCTAATAATAAGCACAGCGTCCAACCCCCCAAAAAAGAAAAAAAAATATATAACGCTGGGAAAAAAATAATAGCTTCCATTTCTCAGATGTTCACTTATGTCCCAAGCAAGCTGTTAAGCACTTAATCAATACTATTATTGTATATAATCTTCACAAGAAACACAGAAGTAAGGATTATTATTACCCTCATTTTATTGATGAAGAAGCTCAGACTCAGAGAAGTAACCTGCCCAAGGTCACATAACAAGTTGGGCAGAGCCATGGTCTGTCTGAACACAGGCAATGTGACAGCAGCATCCCTCATCCTTAACCATCACTGTCTGATGGAACCTGTCCTTCATGGAAATGTTCCATATCTGTGCTGTCTATCCTGGTAGCCCCTAGCCACATGTAGCTATTAAAAAGTGGCCAGTGTGATTAGGAAACTGAATGTGAACTTTTATTTAATCTTAATAACTTTAAGTTTGAATAGCCACATGTGGCTAGTGGCTACTGGCCTGGTCAGTACAGCTCTCAACCATGAGAATATCTGAGTTGCCTTCATTACACTACATCCAGTACCATGTCCCAAACAACTTCTAGCACTCAAAATAAGAACAAGAAACATACTTACCTGAAACAGCATGACATCTCAAACAGATAGAAGAAAACCGCTCTTAAAAAAAAAAAAACAAAAAACTCTCATATGCTTTGAAAAACTATCTAGTCAACTCCACGATTTGTTTTAAAAATTCCATTGATTCCTATTGGCTGTGGTCTCTAGGAAAAAAAAAATGTTCTTAGATATTTGTGACAGCATGGTTTGTAGCAAACAAAACAAAAAAGACCAAAACAAAAGCAGCCCTCCAAGACACAGAAAAAATGAGTGTCCACGAATATGGAAATGATTGAATGAAATATGGTTGATCCACCCTTGGGAAAATGTTTTAGCTATGTAATGGTAAATGGTAAAGAATGGTTAAATTGGCCAGGTGCAGTGGCTCATGCCTGTAATCCCAACACTTTGGGAGGCCGAGGTGGCCAGATCACGAGGTCAGGAGATCGAGATCATCCTGGCTAACACGGTGAAACCCCATCTCTACTAAAAATACAAAAAATTAGCCAGGCATGGTGGCAGGTAACTGTAGTCCTAGTTACTTGGGAGGCTGAGGCAGAGGTTGCAGTGAGCTGAGATTGCGCCACTGCACTCCAGCCTGGGCGACAGACTGAGACTCCGTCTCAAAAAAAAAAAAGAATGGTTAAATCTACATGCAGTTACCTGAAGGAATGCCTTTAATGTGCACTGAAGTGATATAAACAAATTACAGATTAAGATGTAAACTATCACTGCATTTCATTGAAAAACAGAATATGGCTTGTTTTACAAGTTTATGAGTTTTATGAGTTCACATAGTTAAATGGGTATAATAATACTATACCCTTAACAGTGGTAACCTCAGGAGGGTAGCTTCAGAAATGGGAAGAGATGAAATGATTGTTTAAACAACTCTCATGCTCCAAATGGTATCAATAGGCAGGTAACTGTCTTGGCATTTTATAAACTGAATGAAATCATTATTTAAGAAATATTTTAAGACCTGATTCTTGGATATTTTATTCAAGTACTTTCAAAAGTAACTTAGTCCTCACAAAAAAACATGCAAACGACTTATAGACTCCAGCTGAATCACACAAACAATGTTTCAAGGTTTCCCATCTCATAGAAAGCCAGCCTCAAGGTCAACAATACTTTACTTGCCTTACCGATGAATAGGAATATACTACAAGTAGATTTGAGAAAGTGGTACTATTTTTTCCACTTGATTTTATTTTTAAACCCCAAACTGCTCATCACTTAAACAGGGTCCTTTTTAAGTATTTAAGTACCTCCAAGATTTGTACTAGAATAGTGAATATCAACCCTTCCCACCACTAGATAATAACTTAAGTAATTAATTTGAGCTGTGTCCTAGTGAGTGTCTCAGAAAGAATTAGCAATGCCCCCAAACTTCATCCAGTAAAGCTTGAGTGGCTATCTGCTTCTTACACACATTTTATGGTTCATAAACTTGCAGTGTATCTGGCTTCAGAGACTCCTGCTGAGGAAATGAGAAAGTGACCTTCCTTATCACTGAAATCCACAAACCATGACTACAAAAAGGAAACTGGACTGGGAACTTATCTGCGCTATCTTTTTATTCTAGACATTCTCTTGAAATATCCAGTTGAGGCAGAAAAAGAAAAATCCTACTGGTGAAATTCTGATAAGCCATTTCCCACTGCTTCACCTTCCCAACGCCATGCGGTTTCAAGATGTTGAGATCTCACTCAACAACTGTCCAAATGGTCTTATGGCCAGACTGTTAAAGGAAAATAATCAGCCCACAAAGATTACATTGTCAATATTCCATGATATCACCTGCTGTTAAATTAATCAGGGTCCTGCTTGTCAAAATCTAACAAGACTTCAAAAAATGACAGTCACTGCAACTGCTTACGTGTTAAGAACAGATCATCATTTTCCTATTCTAACACAATCATTTGCATCTGATAAATATCCAGAGTATCAGTTGGATATCCAGGACAGCCTCATGCAGTTCATTCTTTAGCTGATAGAGCTAGAGCACAGTAGAATGTATTAGTCCTCCAAATTCACTCAGTTACCTACCTCTCACACAATTTTTGCCATATATGACAATCAGCACTACAATTTACTTGATATCTATCCCTCAAATCAAACTGCCTTTTGTGGTGAAACAGACATCTTATTTAATATGAAAAACCCCTTCTGAAACTGCTTTTAAAAAAAATTAAACAGGCCAGGTGCGGTGGCACATATCTATAATCCCAGCACTTTGGGAGGCCGAAGTGGATGGATCATGAGGTCAGGAGTTCAAGACCAGTCTGGCCAAGATGGTGAAACCCCATTTCTACTAAAAATAGAAAAATTAGTGGTGGCAGGCACCTGTATTCTCAGCTACTTGGGAGGCTGAGGCAGAGAACTGCTTGAACCCGGGAGCTGAGATCGTGCCACTGCACTCCAGTGTGGGCAACATAGCGAGACTCTGTCTCAAAAAAAAAAAAAAAAAAAAAATTTAAACATATTTGGGTAAAAAGTAAATACTTAGCCACCACAAACCTATTAGAATGGTTTAAAAATGTTTCTGTAATACCAAATGCTGGCAAAAATATGGAGCAACTAGTACTCACATGCCTTATTGGGAAGAATACAAAATGGTACAACCATTTGGGGAAAGAGTTTGGCAGTTAGTTAAAAAGTTAAACATAAATTTCTCATATGACCTAACAATCCCACTCCTAAATGTTTACCCCAGAGAAATGAAAACATATTCACACAAAACCCCATACAGAAATGTTTAGAAGAGCTTTATGCATAATCAACCAAAACTTTATGAAAACAACCAAATGTGGTTCAATTGGTGAATGAATTCACTGTGGCACATCCCTACAAAGAACTACTGCTCAGCAAAACTACAGATACACACAGCATGGACGAGTCTCACATACATTATGCTCAGGGAAAGAGAAGCCAGACTCAAAGATTACACACTGTATGATTACTCCATTTATATTCTATATATTCTATAGAGATGGAGAATCAAGCAGTGGTTACCAGCTATGTAGGGTGGGAGCAGCACAGGTAATTAGGGAAAGGAGGAGGACACTGTTTTGTTTCTTGCCTGCGGTGGTGGTTGCACGACTGTGCTTTGGTCAAAACCCATAGCGCACACCACGAATGGTGATTTTTACTGTGTATAATTTTTTAAAAAAGGAAACATTTAGCTTTACCTCAAATGGAAAATCAGCTTCATCCTGCCATAAACAGTAAGTAACTAAAAATAAATGCCACAAAAATAAAGCCATTTTGTTTTATCTGTAGCCTAAGGCTCTGAGCCCGAGGTCTGAATTATCCTATTATCACAAAAGGGGATTGACAAACATTAGAAATATCTTAGATACCTATTAATGTCAATTTGAGACTTTCTGCTTAGCATAAGGATTTGTCTTCGTTAGTTTGGACTGTTATAACAGAATACCATGAACTGGGTGGCTTAAACAATAAGCATTGTTGAGACAGGCATTTTGACACACACCTGGAGTCCCAGCTACAAGGGAAGCTGAAGTGGGAGGATTGCTTGAACCCAGTAGTTCAAATCCAGCCTGGGTAACATAACAAGAACTGTCTGGTGAGAGGACCCTCTTCTTGATTTTCAGACAGCTGCCTTTTTGCTGTATCTTCACATGGCAGGAAATGAAAGCCCTTCCCCTTTTTACATGGGGCATTAATTCCATCACGAGAATCTGACCTTTGGTTAATTAACTCCTAAAGGCTCCTCCTCCAAATACCATTACATTAGGAATTAGGGACCCAAAGGTGAGAGAGGGAGACAGAAGGGTGCGTTGAAGCAGAAACAATTCCAATGTGAAAAGAAAAGGTGTGTGGGTAAGGTGGTCATGGTGCCAAGGAAAGGGCTGAAAGAAAATCTATGGCTCATACTACTTTGGAGGGTGGGAGTGGTTAGAAAACGAACAGTGGAGAGAGGGGGTAAAAATCCATGATACAGGTAATCCCAGATGAGACAGCTATGTAGACTCAAAAGGGTCACGTGAATAAATGTGACTCAAATTGTTAGTGTCACTAAGCAACACACACACACATACACTGCCCCCTCCCCACTCCCAGGTGTGCTGTACCTCCAGCAGAACAAAGTTGAAAAGGTAAGATCCTTGTCTTCTGAGAACTTGGAATCAGTTTGGGTCTGTGTCTAATCAGAATTGATGCCTCATTGTAAATGAGAAAGCAGCTAAAAGAGACTTGACTGATTGTCATCCCTATAACACATTATAAAATAAACACGAATAAAGAAGGCCAGCCTCCTCCTCAGGAATCAGGGGAAGTTGTTGAGTTATTTAACACTTTATATGTGGTAATCTACAAATCACTTCACAAGGAAGCAAGGCCACTCAGGGCAACATAAATGGATCCTTTCTAGAAGCACCATTTTGAATAATGGGGCATTCTCTGTCCAAAACTCTCAACTATGATAACAAAGGTCAGAAACAGGACCCTTATTTTTTCTATCCCAGATCTCAACACAGTAGTGTCAGTAATTGTGTCTCATAAATGGAATAATGCCAAGCCATTCAACAGCAGGTGTGTAAAGACAATTATTTTATTCCAGCTATAACTTGCATGTTTGGGATCAGCAGACCATTTCAGGTTCCATCTTGCATGGAAGAACACTGTGTGATGAAGGTATTGGAATCTCGTTTTAAAAACCACACCTACAATACTTGAAATAAATAAGGACTTGGCATTTATTCCATTGTACTGATGATTTGCAAAAGTGGCCTAGACATGAGAGATGGGAAGCATCTGATCTGGTTTTCATGATCCTACTTCTAGCTCTTTTCTCTATAGCTATGACATGGGATGAAGGAAAAGAAGAAGTTTTGAGTGCCAAATCCAAGTAGCTCCAAAGGAACTATTCAAACCGTCCATGTATCCTTTTCCTGGAAGCCAGGTGCTCTCAGTTAAGTGTAAACATGTTACCTTTCAAGGAGATCCACATTATGTCAAAGAAAAATGTGAACCTTCCAGATTGTTGAATGAATCATATAATACAAAAAGAGAGTATATGTTTGTCTAGGGCAAGCAAATGGTTCCCAGTAATAAACAAAAACAGCAGCTCAAGGAGCTGATGTAAGAAGAACCAGTCTTGATCCAGCTCTGCCACTAAATTAATTATGTGACTACCTTGGAACATTCCCTTTTATGCACTCAATGTCCTTATCTGTAAAACAAAAAGGGTAACTACTGCTCTGACTATATCACAGAATGATTGTGAGACCAAATACATTCATGTGCAAGGATACAAACCCCTCAGCAAATTAAAGGCATTAGAAAATTATGTTCATTTAAAAAATCTGTATTTAGGCCAACGTCTATTCTTTATATGCATTATCTCATTTAATCCTTGCAACAACACTATAAAGTAGTTAATATTATTATCCTATGTCACAGATGAGAAAACATGCACACATTATGTGACTTGCCAAGAATTACACAGCTGGTAAGTGTCAGGACCAGGACTTGAAACCAGGTTTTTGTTACTAGGTGGGAACTTCTGTACACAAAGAAGACATTGGGGAGGGGTGGGAGGATAAACTAGTGGAGGAGCGAGGTGCAGCTGAATTTCCACAGCTCTTCACCCAGGGTTGAATAAATCAACACTGTCTTCATCCAGGAAACATAGCAGGGAGCTGATGGAGTTGACGGTCTGGGAGAAGAAAGCTGGTAAAACCCTTCCCCACAACCTCTTTGATCCCAAACCTAAACTGTCAGGAACTATGTCTTACTGCCTCTTAACCAGAATACTGAGGAGGACCAGAAAACATTCCACAGGAAAGTCAACCTGAACATGAACATTAACCATTTTTCCTCATTTTTCAGGGAAGGGAACTTTGGCACATACAAACTCATGGAAACCTCGCATTCATTAAAGTCAGGAACATGAGAGTTCTCAGGTTGTAACTGATTCATTTCAAACAGTATTAAAAAGCATCCAGGAAATAAAGGATAAGAATCTTCAGCATTAGATACACATTTATCAGAAATCAACTTTTGAGGATTATCCTTGAAGGCATTTTTGTTCCAAGAGGGATTCAGGAAACCAGTAACGCTATACCCTAGCGCTAAAAGTTGTCTATGAGAAAAGGGGATGAGAGCAGATAGACTCTCTCCATTATGGCAGGTAATAATACTTTCACTTTCTCTGATTAATTATAGCAATTGTTTGTGTAAAATGGAATGAACTACTTCCAACAATTTCAACCAGATAATTTTCAAAAGCATATTAAAAGAAAATAATTATTTTGGTGAAAAGCTGTGATTAATTAAGAATATCAAGTTTCCACAAATTAGGTGACTTTGCATGGTTAATGCTAAATACTGAATGTTTCTAATATTCGGCAGCTTTCTTGCTTAGTTAAAAAAAAAAAAAAAATAACTGGGGCCAGGCATGGTAGCTCACGAGTTCAAGACCAGCCTATGCAAATAGTGAAACCTTGTCTCTAAAAAAATTTTTTTAAATTAGCCAGATATAGTGGCACGTGCCTGTAGTCCCAGAAACTCGGGAGGCTGAAGTGGGAGGACCACTTAAGACCAGCAGAGGTTGAGACAGCAGTGAGCCATGATCGTGCCACTGCACTCCAGCCTGGGCGACAAAGTCTAAAATAATAATAATAATAATAATAATAATAATAGGGAATGACTGCTAATAGCTACATGGTTTCTTTGGGGAATAATGAACATTATTTAAAATTACATCGTTTCAATGGTTGCACAGTTCTGTGCATATAATGAAAACTAAAGAATTATATACTTTAAAGGAGTGAATATTATTATGTATAAATTGTGTATCAATAAAGTTGTTAAAAAAACTCTTACACTGCAGAGATGTAAAGATGGGCAAAACATGATCACTGTTCTCATGAATATTATAATTTAGCTGAGGCATTGTTACATTTCCATAAATAATAATAAATAGTATAATTTACTCTTCATCAATTTAACAGCTGCTTTCATTAGTCCTCCCAATATGGGAACTTAAAGAGTGAAATCAGCAATCACTGACCATGTTATGTCGTTTTCCTAAAAATTGCAGGGATCTAAAGCTCTTTCAGAATGGCAGTCCAGAGAAACTGTTAAAAAATCTACAACCAGATTTGGTGAGTTCAAATCTCAGCTCTGGTATTTGCAAACTGTGCAACCATAGACAAGGTAAACATTTTGGGTCTTGGTTTCCTCATCTCTAAAATGGGAATAATAATAATGCATGCCTCATAAGACTGTGTGAGGATTACATGAGATAACACAAGTAAAATGCTTAACCTGGTCATAATATGCATTAACCATGACAACAACAGTATCTGCCCACGCCCGCCCCCAACAACATACTCTGTGCTTCTAAAGGGAAATGGTTATGGAAGAAGGAAGACTATGGATCACTTACTATATCTCTAACAAAGAGCACAGGTTTTCTATACATAATGCCTAATTTAATTCTTCCAAGAGGGGTATATTTTTCCAACCTTGATGAAATTTTCCATCCCTAATCACCATTTTTCAAAGTCACACAAGAATCTATATAGCTCCTAACCACAACTTTTTGGATTATCTTTCAATAAGAAATCACAAAGTCAACACATTCTATAAATACCCTCATTCTAGTCATTAGCCACTAGCACGGATCCATAAGAAAATGCCTACTTATTGAAATATAATGTCTAAATTTGAGGATCTCAATTGCCCTAATTCCATGTTAACCATGTTATTCTTCACATAATCAAAGCCTTCTATAATTAAATGAATGTGATATTTATTGAGCAAATATTATATAACTAGATATAAAACGAGAAATAAATTTGTATCAAGGACTAAAACAAAGCAATTACAATAGCAATTCAAAACAGATAAAAGAAAAAAGGAGTTTATGCCCATTTAACAAATACATTCGTTCTCAGTTGACATAGGCATGATAGTTCTGAAGCCTTCTCAAGTATACAGCGAAATAGTCACGAACATGTAAATTTTATTTTCACTCCCATCAAGTATACATATGGCTACATCAAAGTAAACAAGAGGAAATACCACAGAGTGCAACATATAACTTCTTGAAAAAATAAAGAAGAATTGGGTACAATACTAAGCCTACACCAAAGAAAGGTACACTATAGTACTACCTGTGCATGGTCTTCATAGTATTGAAGAAAACTTACTGGGGCAGTAAAATTTCTAGCCACACAGCAGTATCATGTTGAAGCAGGTCTACAGAGTAAGTAGCATAAAACTGAACATATCTTTCCATTTGTTAACACATGCTTTTTTCCCTCATATTTATAGTGGTATTTACCTTGAAGGGGTTTTAGATTTGGCATCAAAAACTCAAACATTCAAAAAGTGTCTCATGAGCAAAGGCTGAGAAACATGAGCATTTAAATATCACATAAAATTGTATGAGGATTACATGAGACAACACATGTGTTAGCCTGGTCATAATATGGGTTCTCAGGCAGCTGATTTCACTCTTGGGACTCTGGTGTTGTTCGTAACATGCTTATGTTTTCCCCCATAAATAATGACATCAGCAGATTCCTAGAAAACTAAACTACAGCTTTGATTCCCAGCCCCTTCCATTACCTTATCTAATGTTTGCCAACGATCTCTATAACTATAAATCACAATCCAAAAATATATGGACTTGGAGCAACGGCAAAATCATTTAGACCCAGCTGATTAACTGTTATTGCCCTCATTTCAATTAGTTCATGTTTCAGTGAGCAATTACATTCTCACATTATGTGGTACTTCTCTGGCTACAACTATAGCTCATTTTATGTTATGGACTATATAGTTTCTAGATAGATGAGTCATAGAAATTATTTTTTTTCAGTCTCATTGTTAAGCCAAATTAGGTAGCTTTTAGAGGTGATTTTTTTTTTAACAACAGCAACATAAAAAACCCAATTACTAATGCTTCTAAACATTTGCTTGGAAAATGCAGACAGTGAGGAACAGAAGCCTGTGCTGATGTGATAAACCCAAGTTCTGGTCTTTACCCACACTGACTTTAAAAATAACTATCTCATTAGAATACTATATGAGGTATCAACGGTATTATCAGAAAAGTAGTGGCCAATTTTTAAAAAATAAAATCGGCCGGGCGCGGTGGCTCACGCCTGTAATCCCAGCACTTTGGGAGGCCGAGGCGGGCAGATCACAAGGTCAGGAGATCAACACCATCCTGGCTAACACGGTGAAACCCCGTCTCTACTAAAAATACGAAAAAGTTAGCCGGGCGTGGCAGTGGGCGCCTGTAGTCCCAGCTAGTCCAGAGGCTGAGGCAGGAGAATGGCGTGAACCTGGGAGGCGGAGCTTGCAGTGAGCCGAGATTGCGCCACTGCACTCCTGCCTGGGTGACAGAGTGAGACTCTGTCTCAAAAAAAAATAAAAATAAAAATAAATAAAATCAAGTAGCTTTTATTATTATAAGTTACTTTGAATTATTATGTTATATAAAGACAATAGTCTTTAAATAGAATCTAATAGAAATTGGGCCTTTTCAAACAAGCCTTCCTTATTTCAGAGATGTCAGGTGAGTGCTTTGCCTTCTAAGACAGTCACATTACTTTAAGCCTATAGGATTCTCATTAATCCAAGAATGCAGATTATGCCTTTGTCATCTATTCAAACTGGACCCAATGTGAGTCCAGATACAATCCAGTCAATGAATCTGTATTAGAGATAATTTTCATTAAAAGGAAATGGATACCTTTGTTGTGACATATAAATAACAAAAGAAAAAACTGGGGAGTTTTGTTTTTGTTGTGTTTTGTTTCATGTGTATTAAGTGAGTGTCATTATCACACAATGCTTACTGGTTCTCACTCTTGGGTTCCATCTGATTTGTCATCCCTGTCAACAGCAACTGCTGATCAAGGGCAAAGAGAGGGCAGAGGCAATCTTTATTTCCTCCATTTGGCAGCAGGGTAAGACTGCCATTAGCTTCCTGTGAGCCAGGGAAGACCTGGTGATACGATGCATGATCCTGGAGCTCTTACAAGAAGTTTTCACCAGATACTTGCCTCTTAACCTATTTATCTAGCAGTTAGGCTCTCATTTTCTGGGAAACCCACATTTTTGCCCAGAGGGAAGCAAAGAGTCAAAGTGTTTAATTGAAGCTATTGCCTTGGCCTCCAATGGGTTGTTTCAAAACAAAACAATCAAAATAAACAAACAAAACACAGGTATTTAAATGAAGCAGTAGGGAAATCCAGAGAGCTCCTAATCTCAACACATAACATATGTTACATTTGGGTTTTGTTTTTGGGGAGGAGCCAAGATGGCCGAATAGGAACAGCTCCGGTCTACAGCTCCCAGCGTGAGCGACGCAGAAGACGGGTGATTTCTGCGTTTCCATCTGAGGTACCGGGTTTATCTCACTAGGGAGTGCCAGACAGTGGGCGCAGGTCAGTGGGTGCGCGTACCGTGCGCAAGCCGAAGCAGGGTGAGGCACTGCCTCACTTGGGAAGCGCAAGGGGCCAGGGAGTTCCCTTTCCGACTCAAAGAAAGGGGTGACGGACGCACCTGGAAAATCGGGTCACTCCCACCCGAATATTTCGCTTTTCAGACCGGCTTAAAAAAGGCGAACCACGAGATTATATCCCACACCTGGCTCAGAGGGTCCTACGCCCACGGAATCTCGCTGATTGCTAGCACAGCAGTCTGAGATCAAACTGCAAGGCGGCAACGAGGCTGGGGGAGGGGCGCCCGCCATTGCCCAGGCTTGCTTAGGTAAACAAAGCAGCTGGGAAGCTCGAACTGGGTGGAGCCCACCACAGCTCAAGGAGGCCTGCCTGCCTCTGTAGGCTCCACCTCTGGGGGCAGGGCACAGACAAACAAAAAGACAGCAGTAACCTCTGCAGACTTAAGTGTCCCTGTCTGACAGCTTTGAAGAGAGGAGTGGTTCTCCCAGCACGCAGAAGGAGATCTGAGAACCGGCAGACTGCCTCCTCAAGTGGGTCCCTGACCCCTGACCCCCGAGCACCCTAACTGGGAGGCAGCCCCCAGCAGGGGCACACTGACACCTCACACTGCAGGGTATTCCAACAGACCTGCAGCTGAGGGTCCTGTCTGTTAGAAGGAAAACTAACAAACAGAAAGGACACCCACACCAAAAACCCATCTGTACATCACCATCATCAAAGAGCAAAAGTAGATAAAACCACAAAGATGGGGAAAAAACAGAACAGAAAAACTGGAAACTGTAAAACGCAGAGCGCCTCTCCTCCTCCAAAGGAACGCAGTTCCTCACCAGCAACGGAACAAAGCTGGATGGAGAATGACTTTGATGAGCTGAGAGAAGAAGGCTTCAGACGATCAAATTACTCTGAGCTACGGGGGGACATTCAAACCAAAGGCAAAGAAGTTGAAAACTTTGAAAAAAATTTAGAAGAATGTATAACTAGAATAACCAATACAGAGAAGTGCTTAAAGGAGCTGATGGAGCTGAAAACCAAGGCTCGAGAACTACGTGAAGAATGCAGAAGCCCCAGGAGCCGATGCGATCAACTGGAAGAAAGGGTATCAGCAATGGAAGATGAAATGAATGAAATGAAGCGAGAAGGGAAGTTTAGAGAAAAAAGAATAAAAAGAAATGAGCAAAGCCTCCAAGAAATATGGGACTATGTGAAAAGACCAAATCTACGTCTGATTGGTGTACCTGAAAGTGATGGGGAGAATGGAACCAAGTTGGAAAACACTCTGCAGGATATTATCCAGGAGAACTTCCCCAATCTAGCAAGGCAGGCCAACATTCAGATTCAGGAAATACAGAGAACGCCACAAAGATACTCCTCGAGAAGAGCAACTCCAAGACACATAATTGTCAGATTCACCAAAGTTCAAATGAAGGAAAAAATGTTAAGGGCAGCCAGAGAGAAAGGTCGGGTTACCCTCAAAGGGAAGCCCATCAGACTAACAGCGGATCTCTTGGCAGAAACCCTACAAGCCAGAAGAGAGTGGGGGCCAATATTCAACATTCTTAAAGAAAAGAATTTTCAACCCAGAATTTCATATCCAGCCAAACTAAGCTTCATAAGTGAAGGAGAAATAAAATACTTCACAGACAAGCAAATGCTGAGAGATTTTGTCACCACCAGGCCTGCCCTAAAAGAGCTCCTGAAGGAAGCGCTAAACATGGAAAGGAACAACCGGTACCAGCTGCTGCAAAATCATGCCAAAATGTAAAGACCATCAAGACTAGGAAGAAACTGCATCAACTAATGAGCAAAATAACCAGCTAACATCATAATGACAGGATCAAATTCACACATAACAATATTAACTTTAAATGTAAATGGACTAAATTCTCCAATTAAAAGACACAGACTGGCAAATTGGATAAAGAGTCAAGACCCATCAGTGTGCTATATTCAGGAAACCCATCTCACGTGCAGAGACACACATAGGCTCAAAATAAAAGGATGGAGGAAGATCTACCAAGCAAATAGAAAACAAAAAAAGGCAGGGGTTGCAATCCTAGTCTCTGATAAAACAGACTTTAAACCAACAAAGATCAAAAGAGACAAAGAAGGCCATTACATAATGGTAAAGGGATCAATTCAACAAGAAGAGCTAACTATCCTAAATATATATGCACCCAATACAGGAGCACCCAGATTCATAAAGCAAGTCCTGAGTGACCTACAAAGAGACTTAGACTCCCACATATTAATAATGGGAGACTTTAACACCCCACTGTCAACATTAGACAGATCAACGACACAGAAAGTCAACAAGGATACCCAGGAATTGAACTCAGCTCTGCACCAAGTGGACCTAATAGACATCTACAGAACTCTCCACCCCAAATCAACAGAATATACATTTTTTTCAGCACCACACCACACCTATTCCAAAATTGACCACATAGTTGGAAGTAAAGCTCTCCTCAGCAAATGTAAAAGAACAGAAATTATAACAAACTATCTCCCAGACCACAGTGCAATCAAACTAGAACTCAGGATTAAGAATCTCACTCAAAGCCGCTCAACTACATGGAAACTGAACAACCTGCTCCTGAATGACTACTGGGTACATAACGAAATGAAGGCAGAAATAAAGATGTTCTTTGAAACCAACGAGAACAAAGACACAACATACCAGAATCTCTGGGACGCATTCAAAGCAGTGTGTAGAGGGAAATTTATAGCACTAAATGCCCACAAGAGAAAGCAGGAAAGATCCAAAATTGACACTCTAACATCACAATTAAAAGAACTAGAAAAGCAAGAGCAAACACATTCAAAAGCTAGCAGAAGGCAAGAAATAACTAAAATCAGAGCAGAACTGAAGGAAATAGAGACACAAAAAACCCTTCAAAAAATCAATGAATCCAGGAGCTGGTTTTTTGAAAGGATCAACAAGATTGATAGACCACTAGCAAGACTAATAAAGAAAAAAAGAGAGAAGAATCAAATAGACACAATAAAAAATGATAAAGGGGATATCACCACCGATCCCACAGAAATACAAACTACCATCAGAGAATACTACAAACACCTCTACGCAAATAAAATAGAAAATCTAGAAGAAATGGATAAATTCCTCAACACATACACTCTCCCAAGACTAAGCCAGGAAGAAGTTGAATCTCTGAATAGACCAATAACAGGAGCTGAAATTGTGGCAATAATCAATAGTTTACCAACCAAAAAGAGTCCAGGACCAGATGGATTCACAGCTGAATTCTACCAGAGGTACAAGGAGGAACTGGTACCATTCCTTCTGAAACTATTCCAATCAATAGAAAAAGAGGGAATCCTCCCTAACTCATTTTATGAGGCCAGCATCATTCTGATACCAAAGCCAGGCAGAGACACAGCCAAAAAAGAGAATTTTAGACCAATATCCTTGATGAACATTGATGAAAAAATCCTCAATAAAATACTGGCAAAACGAATCCAGCAGCACATCAAAAAGCTTATCCACCATGATCAAGTGGGCTTCATCCCTGGGATGCAAGGCTGGTTCAATATACGCAAATCAATAAATGTAATCCAGCATATAAACAGAGCCAAAGACAAAAACCACATGATTATCTCAATAGATGCAGAAAAAGCCTTTGACAAAATTCAACAACCCTTCATGCTAAAACCTCTCAATAAATTAGGTATTGATGGGACGTATTTCAAAATAATAAGAGCTATCTATGACAAACCCACAGCCAATATCATACTGAATGGGCAAAAACTGGAAGCATTCCCTTTGAAAACTGGCACAAGACAGGGATGCCCTCTCTCACCACTCCTATTCAACATAGTGTTGGAAGTTCTGGCCAGGGCAATTAGGCAGGAGAAGGAAATAAAGGGTATTCAATTAGGAAAAGAGGAAGTCAAATTGTCCCTGTTTGCAGACGACATGATTGTATATCTAGAAAACCCCATCATCTCAGCCCAAAATCTCCTTAAGCTGATAAGCAACTTCAGCAAAGTCTCAGGATACAAAATCAATGTACAAAAATCACAAGCATTCTTATACACCAACAACAGACAAACAGAGAGCCAAATCATGAGTGAACTCCCATTCACAATTGCTTCAAAGAGAATAAAATACCTAGGAATCCAACTTACAAGGGATGTGAAGGACCTCTTCAAGAAGAACTACAAACCACTGCTCAAGGAAATAAAAGAGGATACAAACAAATGGAAGAACATTCCATGCTCATGGGTAGGAAGAATCAATATCGTGAAAATGGCCATACTGCCCAAGGTAATTTACAGATTCAATGCCATCCCCATCAAGCTACCAATGACTTTCTTCACAGAATTGGAAAAAACTACTTTAAAGTTCATATGGAACCAAAAAAGAGCCCGCATCGCCAAGTCAATCCTAAGCCAAAAGAACAAAGCTGGAGGCATCACACTACCTGACTTCAAACTATACTACAAGGCTACAGTAACCAAAACAGCATGGTACTGGTACCAAAACAGAGATATAGATCACTGGAACACAACAGAGCCCTCAGAAATAATGCCGCATATCTACAACTATCTGATCTTTGACAAACCTGAGAAAAACAAGCAATGGGGAAAGGATTCCCTATTTAATAAATGGTGCTGGGAAAATTGGCTAGCCATATGTAGAAAGCTGAAACTGGATCCCTTCCTTATACCTTATACAAAAATCAATTCAAGATGGATTAAAGATTTAAACGTTAGACTTAAAACCATAAAAACCCTAGAAGAAAACCTAGGCATTACCATTCAGGACATAGGCATGGGCAAGGACTTCATGTCCAAAACACCAAAAGCAATGGCAACAAAAGACAAAATTGACAAATGGGATCTAATTAAACTAAAGAGCTTCTGCACAGCAAAAGAAACTACCATCAGAGTGAACAGGCAACCTACAAAATGGGAGAAAATTTTTGCAACCTACTCATCTGACAAAGGGCTAATATCCAGAATCTACAATGAACTCAAACAAATTTACAAGAAAAAAACAAACAACCCCATCAAAAACTGGGCGAATGACATGAACAGACACTTCTCAAAAGAAGACATTTATGCAGCCAAAAAACACATGAAAAAATGCTCATCATCACTGGCCATCAGAGAAATGCAAATCAAAACCACAATGAGATACCATCTCACACCAGTTAGAATGGCAATCATTAAAAAGTCAGGAAACAACAGGTGCTGGAGAGGATGTGGAGAAATAGGAACACTTTTACACTGTTGGTGGGACTGTAAACTAGTTCAACCATTGTGGAAATCAGTGTGGCGATTCCTCAGGGATCTAGAATTAGAAATACCATTTGACCCAGCCATCCCATTACTGGGTGTATACCCAAAGGACTATAAATCATGCTGCTATAAAGACACATGCACACGTATGTTTATTGCGGCAT
The DNA here is from genome assembly GCF_000001405.40 of Homo sapiens. Classification (NCBI taxonomy): domain Eukaryota; kingdom Metazoa; phylum Chordata; class Mammalia; order Primates; family Hominidae; genus Homo; species Homo sapiens. The sequence continues at coordinate 65,514,878 of NC_000003.12, forward strand.
TATTCACAATAGCAAAGACTTGGAACCAACCCAAATGTCCAACAATGATAGACTGGATTAAGAAAATGTGGCAAATATACACCATGGAGTACTATGCAGCCATAAAAAATGATGAGTTCGTGTCCTTTATAGGGACATGGATGAAATTGGAAATCATCATTCTCAGTAAACTATCGCAAGAGCAAAAAACCAAACACCACATATTCTCACTCATAGGTGGGAATTGAACAATGAGATCACATGGACACAGGAAGGGGAATATCACACTCTAGGGACTGTGGTGGGGTGGGGGGAGGGGGGAGGGATAGCATTGGGAGATATACCTAATGCTAGATGACGAGTTAGTGGGTGCAGCACACCAGCATGGCGCATGTATACATATGTAACTAACCTGCACAATGTGCACATGTACCCTAAAACTTAAAGTATAAAAAAAAAAGTTACATTTGAAGACAGCAATTTTTTAAATTAACCACTTTATAAAATGTTGTGCAAGAATTTTTTGTTTTGTTTTACATAAGCAAAACAGAAAATGAAACATCTAAGAAAAAAAGTGGCTTTCTAAATGCTTAAATGAATACTAACTAATGTCAATGAATGACACTTACACTAAAAGCAAGCCATGGAAAATATAAAATTCACACAATAGGGCCTGATCAAATCTTTGGTAGTTGTCCCTTATTTCTCTTTTCAGATATAAAAAGTTAATGCTGTAGACAATGTAGAATCTACGAAAGAACACAAAGACAACAAGTACCCCCACCATCCAGAAATAAACCCTATCAACAGTTAAGTATCCAAAGTCTATGGCACCAACCCATGGCCCAGGATGAATTCTGGGAATCTTCAGCCAAACTCTCAGCCATCAGAATTGTCACTTGTCACTTCAGGCTTCATTGTAATCAACACCAAATCATATGGTCCAATACTTTACAGAGAAAAGGTATTGCTATTTTTTACAACCACAACAGCAAGCCTGGCACTTACATGCTTCAGGTTACACAAATGCTGAAAATGAGGGTGAGAACACATCATAAAGTTTATTGGAGAAGGCAGTACTGACTGATGCACAGTTCAAAAATCTTTACAGGGGCACAGGGAATTGAAATAGCAGAAATTATCAAAAACAATTTCTTGCCCTAGTTTTCAAGCTCTGGGTCCTTTAAAAAGTGTAATAATAAGCTGGGTGCAGTGGCACACACTGATAGTCCCAGCTACTCAAGAGGCTGAGGGTGAGAGAATTGCCTGAGCACAGAAGTTCAAGTCCAGACTGGACAACATACCAAGACCCTGTCTCCCTCTCTCTCTCTCTCTTTTTTTTGAGATGGAGTTTTGCTCTGTTGGCAGGCTGGAGTGCAGTGGTCCAATCTTGGCTCACTGCTACCTCCACCTCCTGGGTTCAAGCGATTCCCCTGCCTCAGCCTCCCAAGTAGCTGGGACTACAGGCATGTGCCACCCCACCCGGCTAATTTCTGTATTTTTAGTAGAGATAGGGTTTCACCATGTTGGCCAGGATGGTCTCGATCTCTTGACCTTGGGATCCGCCCGCCTGGCCTCCCAACGCATTGGAATTACAGGCATGAGCCACCGTGCCTGGCCGACCCTGTCTCTTTTTAAAAGTATAATAATAATAAATAGTAGCATGCACTTAACTAATAATAGAGGTCTGTTAATATCACTATCACCACAACAGAGTTATAAAGCACTTACTACATGTCAGGCACTGCAAGTACTTTGTACTCTCTTTTCCCCTAAAACCTTATCACAATCATGAGCAAAATACTAAAATAAGCCCACTTTTCAAATGAGGATTTGGGAAGAAACATAGTACATCCCACCTCTTTTTTTTTTTTTTTTTTTTTTTTTTTGAGACGGAGTCTCGCTCTGTGGCCCAGGCTGGAGTGCAGTGGCGGGATCTCGGCTCACTGCAAGCTCCGCCTCCCGGGTTCACGCCATTCTCCTGCCTCAGCCTCCCGAGTAGCTGGGACTACAGGCGCCCGCCACTACGCCCGGCTAATTTTTTTGTATTTTTAGTAGAGACGGGGTTTCACCGTTTTAGCCGGGATGGTCTCGATCTCCTGACCTCGTGATCCGCCCGCCTCGGCCTCCCAAAGTGCTGGGATTACAGGCGTGAGCCACCGCGCCCGGCCCCATCCCACCTCTTTAAGGGGGCTGAACTGGGATTAAAACCCAGGTTTTCCTACTCTGGAAGCTAAGCTCTAAAATTTTACACTACCTGGCTTCATATCTCATTCTGCATCAAGCATGTTGTCCTCTATTCTTAGACTACTCCAGAAAGAATCATGCCTCAGGGCCTTTGCACTTGCTATTACTCCTCCCTACAACACTCTTGTCTCAGTTGGCCACTCTTTCTCAAGACAGCCCCAGTGCTTGCTCCCAAACTTCCTTCAAGAATTTGCTCCAATGTCACCTTCTTGGTAAAGAGCTTCCTAATGGCTTACTGTAAATCGTAAGCTCTTCCTCCCACCCTTGAACTACCTATCCTGCTTTATCTTTCTCCACAGCACATATCAACATCTCTGCTGGTTATTAAACTAGTGGCTTGGCTCCAAATCTACCCTTCCAAACACTCTTCTGCAATGCTCAAGTTAGGAGTCTACAAACTGTATTTCCCAGGATTATTCTGCAATAGGGGAAAACTGAAGAAAGTGGGAGGTCAGAGTGGACTAGCTACTTCCCATATGTTTGCTGTTCCTGTCAGTATGTCCCCAGCAGAGGCCCTTCGCCCTGGCAGCATAAGTTGGTTCCAGTCTCCAACTCCCGAGTCAGTCTCATCGCATCCTAAGAGGTACCAGTGCCACCTTCTCGGACATCTGAGCTCTCTGCCACAGGGATCCCTCCTCTGAGCCTCGAGACTCAAACAACTCCAAACTCTTTATTTTGATCCTCCCACCCAACCATGCAGGCTGCTTTCTGAAGTTATTTCCTTTGTGTGACCTCAGAGCTCTCTTTCTGCTTTTTCAGATCTCCAACACCAATTCCCCATAACAGAGTCCCTCTGTTGAAAAACCTAGTATGATTTTTGCTTTCTTGACTGGATCCCAAATGATATACTTAATATGTAATAACTTTAGATTTTTAAACAAAATTTAGAAAATAATCTTTCCACAGTAGCATTAGAACAGAGGGTTTTGTCTGTCTCATTACTGTTGAATCCTAAGCACCTGGAGTAGTATCTGGTCCATATTAGGTGCTGAATAAACATCAGCTGAATGAATGTATCCCTCTAGTTAGCAGCTTAAAACTAACCAGAAGACATTGTCTAGGTTTCAGCCTAAAGACTATCTTAACCCCAAAGGCTTCTCTGACCCTAACTAAAGTAGATCCCCTCTAGTTCTCCTTCACAGACCACTGCATAAGTCTACCACGGCACATTTTACAATCTGTAAAATGACTTTCTGTATCTGTATATTTATTTATCTTTCTTATTCACCATAATATTAACATCATAAGAATTAGAATTGTGTCTGTCCCACTACATCTTCAGTGACTAGCGCAGGCTAGGCACGCAGTAATTGCATGATTTTTCGTGGAAATAAAGGTACACTGGGGCTTAACTTCACGAGAAAATAATCATTTGGACATTTTATTGCTCTTCCCACAAGAAAAGGTAGGAGATGGGAATTAGTAGTGATCTCAGTGGGATCCTGTACCCTAAATTCCTTGATGTGACTTGGAATCCCAAATAGCTGTTAAGCCAAATTTGATTTGGTGGTATTATGAGACATTGTTATAGTCACAAATTAAAATACTTCACAAACATCGACACCATGAAAAATTAAAACCTGTGTTGAAATCCTCTATGGTTTCAGCAAATATGTACTAAACACATACTATGTGCCAAGTAATGTTGAAGACGGTAGATGCAGCAAAAAAAAAATAAATAAATAAACCGAGTTTACGTCTCCATGGAGTTGATATTCTAGTCAGTAGAGATACACATTAAATAAACTAGTAAATATGCAATATGTCACTTAACGTGAGGGAGAAAAAGCAGAATAAGAGTGGTAGGAAATTTTCAATGGTAGAAGTAGAAGTAGAATTACAATTTTACATGATGAGGGAATTCCTCACTGAGAAGGTAAAATATGCACAGAGGACTAAAGGAAATGAGAGCAGGAGCCATGGGCCAGGCCTGGAAGTGTTCTAGGCACAACAGGTAACACCAAACGCAAATGTCCTGAGGCAGGAGCAAGCTATGTGTTTGAATTACAGTAAGAAGCAGAGTGGGTGGGGTAAGAGAAAGATGTTATTAGGTTAGGGCAAACATAATTGCGGTTTTTGCCATTACTTTCTTTATTGCACCAACCTAATAGATCAGAGAGACAATGAGGACTTGACAACACAGAGAGATAGAGGCCACCATAAGGACTTTGTATCTTATGAGGAAGATGGGAAGCCACTGGAAAGTTTTCATCACAGGAGTATCATGATCTGACACACACACACACACACACACACACACACACACACACACACACACACACATATATATAATTTTTTTTTGGATGGAGTCTTGCTCTGTTGCCCAGGCTAGAGTGCAGTGGTGCGATCTTGGCTCACTGCAACCTCAGCCTCCTCAGTTCCAGTGATTCTCCTGCCTTAGCCTCCCGGGTAGCTGGGATTACAGGCACCTGCCACCACGGCTGGCTAATTTTTGTATTTTTAGTAGAGATAGGGTTTCACCACGTTGGCCAGGCTGGTCTCAAACTCCTGACCTCGTGATCCACCCACTTTGGCCTGCCAAAGTGATGGAATTACAGGCATGAGCCACCTCACCTGGCCCTGACTTAGATTTTAAAGAGATCACTCCATCTACTGAATTGAGAATAAACTCTATGATGGACTAGAGTGGAAAGAGGAACAACAGTTTGGTGGTTATTACAGTAATTGAAGTTACAGATTGTGATAGGTTATTCTTCCCATTAAGATGTGGAGTCCAATTCCACCCCCTGTGTATTTGTGTTGGCCTTAGTGGCTTGCTTGATTGAAGGAATAAGGCAGGCATGGTGCTGTGTTACTTCCATGGCTAGGTGAGAAGAATACTTGCAGCTTCTGCTTTGGTCCTTTGGCACAGCAGCTCTTAGAACATAACTGCCTCACTCGGAGAAAGCTGGAGAGACCCACAAGGAGAAAAAAGGAGGCTCCCAGCCAACAACCAGCACAGCTTTGCAGCAAAATGAGTTGGCCATCTTAGAAGTGGACTGGCTAGATCCCGTTGAACCACCCCACCTACTCTTCCTGAAACAGACACAAGCCATCCCGCTGAGCCCTAGTCAAATTACAGATTCATATGCAAAATAAATGCTTATTATTTTTTAAGCCACTAAGTTTTGGAGTGATTTGTGACACAGCAACAGATAACCAAAAAAAGAATTCACGATAGCTCAAACTAGCCGTAAGGGAAAAGATAGTTCCTAATGCACTTATGTGGAAGATCCTTCAATAATATGGTTAAGAACTTGGGGTTTTGGAGCCAGAAAAACTTATATTTGAACACAGTTGTATCACTTAACAGGTAACCCTTGGCAAATTAATTAGTTTTCCTGAACCTCAGTCAGTTACCTCATCTGCAAATGGGAAGAGTAATGGGGCCTAGTTTCTTGAGATATTGTGAGGTTACAAGGAGATAATGTAGGTAAAATGCTTTGCCCCATGCCTGACACTTAATGAGTACTCAAAAAAAGTGAGCTATTAATAGGATTGATTTTTTACCATTTTAAAAATGGCACCATATCATTCAACATTCTCAAAAATGGAAGCTTCTGTGGCACAACTCCCGGATTTCCACTACATTAAGAGGCCAGATGCAAAAAGAGTTATAGTCCCAGGAGAAACAAGAGCCACAGTTGACTAGCCATCTTCTATGCATCAACAGTGTTTATTAAGATGTCATAGGATTAACTGCCAGACTGCCTTTCAGAAGCCTTTCGTGACTTATAAACCATGGTAGTCATGGGAGCTAACTCAATATCACCAACCCTCAGCAAAATAGCTTTCCAAAATTTTAACACTATCACATCTATTTTGGCAAACATATTAGCCAATTCAGTGGAGGGCAAACTATTATGACACCAACTTAAGAGATTCTGCAAATTCAAGGAGAGGAAAAAGGGCATGATTTTATCAATCCATCCCAAATCTTGCTGCTGACAATTAGTGCAAACCCCATTATATAAGTCTAGATGTGAGATGTAATATGTACCACAGACAGTGGAAGGCACTTCAAACAGAAGGATCAATTTACCACTTTATTAACCTAAGCTTGATAACAGATCTCTGTTAGAGATACTACTCACATCCCACTTCCACTTTATTACAGAGATTACGCTGAATAGAGAACTGATTTTTAACAATAAAACTCTTTCTATGGCCTTTAGCCAGAAGCAATAAAATTCTGACCTCACAGCTATAACAAAACAGAGAAACCTCCTAGCATATATCTCTATATTAAACAACCAGCCTTCAAGATATATCACTGGAAGGATGTTGGAAAGAAATGCTGCTTTAAAAATATCAATAGCCCACGATTTAGGAGCAAGTACAAGAGATGTTTAGAATTGGTTTAATAAATATTTAAATACATATGCCAACATGCCATTAGTTTATGAAATATAGATTTCAGGGAATATTGACTTGAGGCCTGTATTACTTACTGAGTATTAATATACAATACAATGAATATTCATGGACAATGAAAACTCACTATTTTAATGTAAATATGCATACCTGAGTTCCTGAGTGATTTATCTTCCTCTTGGGTGGTTGTTACATGGTAATAAATGTTATACTCTTTGCCATACATTAATGAGTCATTTCAGGCCCAAGAGCTTTATGAAAAGTTGGATGTTATGTTGTAAGGCATTAGAAAGTCATTATAGGATAACAATCAGAAAACTCAGTTTTTACAAAGAAGCTACCATTTCTCTGCTGATGCATAAACCATAGCTTTGCTATTTTAAATTATAATGGTGATTAATCTGATTGCTTATTTCAATGGGACTTAATGTATCTGGGATGTGTTCCTCTGACATTTCTATTCTTCTTCATAGCTACATAAGCTTAAGGTAATGATGAGTTCCCAAATCTCTATTATAACAGAAAAGTAGCAATACAGAGGGAATACTATCACAGAGGAAAAAAATCCAAACGGAATTTCATACCCTCCTTCACTCTTACAATGGCCTTCACCAAGAGCAGTATTTTCTGCCACAACATGGCCTAAAAGTGTTAATATATATCCAGCAATAATGAGATATGAGTCAAATAATGTCAAAAAGCACTGAGTTCAACCCAATTAAAAAGAATTCTTCACTGCAAGACTTCTCAAAGGTGTTGAATATGCTGATATTAATTGAGAGTTTCCAAAAAGAATAAACTATGCTGTGTTTACCCAACTCTTTCTTCACGGAGCATTTCATAGGACTAGTGTTCTATAAGCACAAGCATAGGCTGCTGGAGTTTAAGTACCACTTTCCCTAATCTCATAGGTAACTTACTTGGGTTTTTAAAGGATCTCTAAATCAAGAAAGGATTCCTGTTCTCATTTTCTCCCCTACATAAAGCCAAGTTCAGGATGAAATCTCACAATGATGTATGAGAAAGGGTACACTTTCTAGACCCAGTGTACAACAACAAATACAAATTTAATTACATCACTTACCGGTTTAAAGTCCCTCCAGTAGCTTCCCAAACTCTACACAGTAAAACACAAATTCTGTCAATCAAGCTTTTGAAAGTTTCTTTATGACCTCCTCATCGTTTCTTCCCCAGTCATAGGTGTCAGTACTCAAGACTTCAATTTGGGTACTTTTAGCTCCCCACAAACCTCTCCCCAAAGTAAATGCTTCAAAGGCAGACAAGCCCTGGCTAATTTAGCTGAATGTGGTACTTCTGGCACTTAGTTTGATTGTCTGCACTTGGAGATTCTATACCTATAATTCCACTACCAAAAAAATATTTATGCCACCAATTCCTGCTGCAGTAGGGGTGGGAAGACTCCCATATGTTTTTTTGGCTTCAGGCTCAGCTTACACATCACTTCCTCCAGGAACCTTGTCTGATACAAAAAGGTTGGGCTTAGTATCATTACTATGGGTTCTCATAGCATTCATTCCTTTCCCACACTTTAGAATATCCCACTCTCCATTGGAATGACACCCTTACTGATCTCCTCAACCAGAATGTATATTTCCTGGGTGCTAAAGATGGAGTCTAAGCACACATATTATGTTTGCCAGAGTCTTTTATACCACAGTCAACCAATAAAATACATATAATCTTACTGTGTATGATACTATTACCATATTAGCCAATTATTATTGAACTAATGCATGCCCACCATTTATCTCAAGAGTAGAAAACTCTAATTCAGATAATAGGAATGTTTCATGAGGCCATGCTCTAGTTTACACAACTGTGAAAGTTCAACAGAGGGTTACTGGAGTCACTATAAACACCATTTAATGTGGCAACCTTAATAATATAAGCAAGGTCAGAAATTTTAAAAAGGAAGAGAGGGAGGCGAAGAGAGGGAGGCAAGGGGTGGGGGAGGGAAGAAAAAGCAAAGAATGCAAGAAAAAAAAGAAAGTTAAAGAGTAGTGTTGTTTCTCCCTGTAAATGAACTTCTGTCCTGGAGTGACCAGGTGACTGGAGGCTGTTCTCCCACTAGTCTCTGTTTCACATGCATCCTGTTCCATGGAGTGTTAGATATTGCACAGATTAAGAGAATTTCAAGGGAAATCTTGACCTCAAACAATTTTGTTTGCCTCATGTGCTTGAAAAGGAACTCATATGTAAGTTAGAACTCAACTGCACAAGTATTTTAAGAAAGAATTTTTCTCTCAGTCCTGGAAATAACTGGAAATAGTGGTTAGAAGTGAAACACAAACAGTAATTAGCCTTAGGGGTAAAAATATCCCTTCTACAATTTTGTATCATTTAAAATCACCAGCACAAATACTTTCAGAGTAAGAAGCCTGAGAGTGCACGCTACAGAAGAGCTTATGATGTCCTATTACTGCTGTCACCAACAGAAATTCAAACGCAAAGATCACATGAAACACAGACCTCAAGTTACTACAGTGTTTGTTACAAAGCAAATGCTCAATGAAACTTTGAAAAGGGAAGAGAGGAAAGCAGAAAGGGAAGGAAAGCAAGAAGAAAAGGAAGGAAAAATGGGAAGAGAAAAGGAAAAAGGAAGAAAGGTAGGAAGGAAGAATGAAAAGTTGATTTTGGTCTTTGGGAAAGTTTTGACAGCAATCTTTCACAACGAACATTTTACTATGTACTCTCAAATCACAAAGTTGGTGTACAATGGCAACAGGCAATACTACCCAGTGGAAAATATCTGATGCATTCTATCTGGAAACGATGGAGTCTCTCATAGGTTTCAAGAGAAGAAAAACAATTGCCATAGGTAAAACAGAAGTACTCTTTTCTAATCAGCAGCTCATAAAATTGCTGTAAGAATGTCTAAGCAATAATGAATAGAAAGTTTCTCTCACACAGGACTGGGAACTTACAGGACTTAATATATGTTAGTCATGTTTCATTACTCTTATAGAAAAGTTAGACATGTAGGGTAAATTGGACTGTCTTTTGTCAAATTCCCAAAGCAAATATGGAAGGGTTTCAGTGCATCATTCAATTCCACAGTGGACCATGCTCAAATAGAAACGAGGATGTAGAAACAATGAATAAATGCATCCCAGTCGACAAAGTGTCAACACATCCTACTCTGCTGCCCTGGTGTGTGAGTCTGAAAATAGTGAAGGGCATTGAAGTTATGTAGACTCTACTGCAGAACCAAGATAGGCTGAATGATAGATCGCAACAGGTGGATATCTGATACATCAGGCCATGCAGAATTCCTAGTGGTCACTCGCATTCTAACTCTCTCTCAGCTCCAAGGGGCTCTCTCTGGAGGTTGGATCTCATCCACAAGGTTTTGGCCAGGATCCAGAAACATGTAATAGGAAAACTGGCAAAGGTCCCAACCCAGCCCATTAATGATCTGCAAATGGTACCCTTTAGATCAAATACTCAAGCCACAGGACTTGGAGGTGCAGCCTCACGTTTGTCTTCCAGAAACAATTATTTCACCATCGAGGTTCACTTGTGCTGCTTGCTAGAAATCATTCTCCTCTCCCCTTGGCTCCAGCACCCTCAGTCATAATTTCAAACACCTACTTGGAATTGCATCCCTAGACTCAAATTTACACATTCTCATCTCCCTATAATGCACCCATTTCCAGCTCACTGCCATCAATCAGCAAGACTGCCAGACACTACTATCCCACTGCACCGATGTCAAAGCCACACCACCTCTCTATGGACAGACACATGCTGAGCAGAGGAGTACCTTTCTCAAATCTGCAACTCTGCTTCAATATGACCCTCACAAACACCCTCAACCCTCAGTAGGTTTTTCTTTTTCTCTCTTCTCCTTTACAGTATTTGTAGCCAAACACATTGTCTGCTGTACTGGGATAATCTGCAGAGAAACAACTGACTAACCTTTGGAATGCTTTTAAAATCTGTAGAACTAAGATACACACATGCTACCCAAAGATTTCATCCTCACTAAGGAATCAACAGTAATCTGAGAAATGTTCTGTTTGGAATGTTGAGTTTTTAAGTCCACTAACATGGCTTCTGAAATGGTAAAATAAAATGGCATCTTTACTTTCAACGAATGCTCTGGTCTGGAATAAGCACTGTATAATCATCTGAGATTATAATTACATGGTCATTCAATTACAGTCACAGAGAGCCCCTGAGTTGTAAAAATTTATGAAAAAACAAAAGAACAAAACAACTTACCTTGTCAATAATATAGCGGTAGAATGTGCTTAACTCAACATCTGGGTTTTGATGGTGGGAAGCCACTTATTAATTATACAATTAGGTATCACAATTGTACAAGTATACAATTAGTAGGTATTATTTCCTGAATACCCACTGTGTTCAATCAGCGTGCCCCATATAAGGGAGGCACACATTGTCCCCTGTTTTAATTGCTTACTTTGCTGGGGACTTCAGTAACTTCACCAAGTCACAGGGGGAAATCACAATTTATAGAAAATGTATATGGAAAAAGGCTTCCTAATCTTTGCAAAAACAAAGAATCTTTTGTTATATGTAATTAGTTTTTAAATAACTCATGGTAAATTCTCCACTTCTATCATAATCTACATCACCTAATAAATGTGATTTGCAAGTGAGAAATATTTATTGTGCTTTTCCACTCCAGTGGCGGCAGGGTGGGATATATGCTTGTTTCACTTTTCTTTTTTTCCTGCCCTCCTTGATGTTCAGTTCACTGTGAAGGTGTTGTTGACATCTTTGCCATTTTTTGCCAAAATGACTGCTCAAATTAAGGTAACTTGGGAAGTTACTGCCTGTAAAACAAATGGGGCGTCACTGAAATGGCTATTCCTTGATTGTATTTCATTTGAAATTTAACAAAGTCAGAGAGATGGGTCCCACAAGCATACCTCTAGTAAAAGCTCCAGCTCTTACTTGCAACGTATGTTATGCAGCAATTATGCTACCAAGCTGCCCAGAATTCTTTATCTGCATGCAAATTAGTTTATATGTGCTACAGCTGCCATTATGACAGTATTAAAGAAAGAATTTGGTAATGAAACTATCCTCTTTATGGAAATGCAGTTCAATTACCTTAATAACACATTGGACATACCTGCAATTGCTTATAAAGTGAAAAGCCCAATTCTCTCCTCACATGCCCAGACCACTGTATTTAACCCACCTTCTCATCACTTTAAATACAAGAACAACCAAGAGGGGGATTTCTAGGCTACCTTTTACAGGCCTGACTCTTTCAGTGCTATGATGGGAGCATTCCCTCAACTGACATTGTGGGTAACTTGGTGATTAAACATTCCTACAATCCTCTAATAGTTAAAAAATTAAACGGTCATCCAACCCACAGCTGTTAGCGCCCAGTTTTGCCATCAATCATTAACAGTAACTCCTGGGACCTTCAAAGGCCACCAGCAGGCAGGAGTGAGAAAGGAAAAAAGAATATTAAGTCCTTAATTCCAGGCCTGAAAGATACATATAAAGCAAAGAAAGCAGGCTTTAAAAAACTCTAGAATGGTTATGATATTTTAGGAAGGCTAAGATTCACGTATCTTCTCTTCTTCCATTGGTGATTGTCTTGACTTCTCAAACAGCCAACCTAAATCACTGCTTTTAGGCTGAGATTGCAGAGGATGAGCAACAGCTCCTTTGTCACACCAGTGGCTCCTTTTAGGAAGCAAAGACCCAGCCCTTAACACTGGCATTTCCACAGCTTGCCGAACTTGGGATGCTACCATAAGAGCACTGAGTCTCACACCTAACTTACATTGTTCAGAGTTAATTATATTTCAGGGCTGGGTACGGTGGCTCATGCCTATAATCCCAGCACTTTGGGAGGCTGAGGCAGGTGGATCACTTGAGGTTAGGAGTTGGAGACCAACCTGGCCAATATGGTGAAACCCCATCTCTACTGAAAATATAAAACTTAGCCAGGAGTTGGCCGGGCGTGGTGGCTCACACCTGTAATCCCAGCACTTTGGGAGGCCAAGGCAGGTGGATCATGAGGTCAGGAGATCGAGACCATCCTGGTTAACATGGTGAAACCCCGTCTCTACTAAAAATACAAAACATTAACTAGGTGTGGTGGCAGACGCCTGTAGTCCCAGCTACTAGGGAGGCTGAGGCAAGAGAACAGTGTGAACCCGGGGGGCAGAGCTTGCAGTGAGCCGAGATTGGGCCACTGTACTCCAGCCTGGGCAACAGAGCGAGACTCTGTCTCAAAAAATGTATATAAAAATAAAAAATAAAAACAAAAATAAATTAGCCAGGAGTGGTGGTGCATGCCTGCAATCCCAACTACTCAGGAGGCTGAGGTAGGAGAATTGCTTGAACCCAGGAGGCAGAGGTTGCGAGATCATGCCACTGCACTCCAGCCTGGGCAATAGAGCAAGACTCCATCTCAGGAAAAAAAAAAAAAAGTTAATTATATTTAAGAGAGATCATAAGAAGTACCAATTGGCAATTTTTTAAAAAGTGGGGTGGGGAGTACTGATCTTCACATAAAACAAAGGCATTTTTACAGACTGCTTTTTTTCAGTTGGGTGAAAGACTACAAAGATTTTAAGAGTATCATAAGTTAACAAAAAATGGCTTTTTAATTTCTCCTTGCTCCACTGCTATCATTTACATCAAGAAAAAAACTGAAACACCTTGAAAAAGGTGTTCTGAAATTTAGACTGAAAACTAACAGAAGCACTTTATTTTTACCTCGCTTTTCTTTCACTCCACGTCAACTGTCACAAATTGATATAACATTGCAAAATTCATCCAATATTGCAAAATTTATCTAAGCGTTTCTCAAAACTAAGATTTTCAACACAGCGAAATTGCTGTCAAACATGGTGCTACTTTACATAGCCGAAGTCCTTCATTCATTCATGGAAGAGATTCAATAGATACACCATGGCAGGACAGGGACTAGGGCCTAAAGTCACCATGGATATATAAGGAGATGTAGTGTCTGTCCCCATGGAGTGGAAACTCCAATGAACTTATACCTCTCTTTAGTAAGATAAAAGGCGGGTCACAGAACCATCTGCATCTCAATTTCTGAACCTGTAATGTGAAGAAAATATCACCTATCACAAAGGGCTGTTGTGATCATTTCAATTTGATAATCTATAAGAGTTAAGCACTTTGCAGGATGTGTAGCAGAGAACAAATGCTCAGCAAATGTCAACTCCCAATATTTCCCCTCTTCTCAAGGTAAAAACTGGCCCCTGTACCAAAACATTATTTTACCATTCAAAATACTATGGAGTCAGGCGTAGTGGCTCACACCTGGAATCCTAACACTTTGGGAGGCCAAGACAGGAGGATTGCTTGAGCCCAGAAGTTTGAGACCAGCCTGGACAATAGAGTGAGAACTTGTCCCTACAAAAAAATTTAAAAATTAGCCAAGCATTGTGGCACACATCTCTAGTCTCAGCTACTCAGAAGCTGAGGTGAGAGAATCACTGGAACCCTGAAAGCAGAGGTTACAGTGAGCTGAGACTGCACCACTGCACTCCAGCCTGGGCAACAGATGGAGACCCTGTTTCAAAACCAACCAACCAACCAACAAAAAACAAAAACAAAATATTGTCATTAAGTAATGCCTAATTGGTAAATATTCTTTTTTTAAAATAAAAAAAAAAAGGCTTGGACTTTCTGCTCCCAGGTTAAAAGAAAGAGATTTTGAGTAGATACTTTTCACATTTTGGTAAAATACACTTAGCATAAAAGTCATCATTTGAGCAATTTTAAATTGTATAATTCAGTGACAGTACATTCATAATGTTGTCCAACCATCATCACTATCTAGTTCTGGAACATTTCATCACCACAAACAGAAACTCCATACCCATTAAGCATTAATTCCCTGTTCTCCTCTCCCCCAAGTTCCTGGCAACTACTATGAATTTGCTTATTCTGGATATTTCATACAAATGGAATGATACAATATGTACCCATTTGTGCCTGTCTTCCTGCAGTGTGATGTTTCTTATAGTGAAACGTTTTCAAGGCATGTAATGTGGCATGTATCGGTACTTAATTCCTTTTCATGGCTGAGCAGTTGTATTCTCTCACATGGATATACCACGCTTTGTTTATCTATTCATCAGTTGATGGACATTTAAGTTGTTTCCAACTTTTGGCTACTGTGAATTATGTGCAGTTATGAACATTCATGTATGAGTTTCTATTTAAAAATCTTTTCAATTCTTATGAGTACATACCTAGGAGTGAAATAGATTTTACCTATGTATACACACACATAGATAATATATGGATACAGACATAACACACATAAAAATGTATATACACATATAATATATACACATATATACATAAATATAATATACACACAGTAGCTCATTTCTGCAGTAGTAAGCCTTTGCTATACTTGCCTGGTTAAGGCCTTTCCCTCTCTTTCTCCATCATTAGCTGATCTTGACCCTCTCCCACCTTCACATTTGGAATGTCTTAAATGACTTTAAGTCCTCTCCATATCCCACCTGTTTACATATTACCCATATATGTGTGAGAGTGCCTAGCTAGGGATTCAGTAGGTATTTGTTGGAAAAAAAATGCATGAATGAATGAATGAAGCAATACCTTGCATATAGCACAAATACAGCAAGCACCTGTAGCAAGATCAACGCCATAATCATATCCAAGGTTAAAATAGAGAAGGTGATCCCTAGTGTTCAGAGTGCTACTTTGAATGTCACTTTCTGGATACCTGTCATTAATGTCATCCATGTCACTGAATTAGGCGAGTGCTAATTCATCCATGTCACTGAATTAGGCGAGTCTTTCACTCCTTTTCTCCATCACAAACTCCTCCAGAACCATATAGCACAGTGGCTAAAAATATAGGTTTGGAGAGGCTGAGGTAGGTGTATTGCTTGAGCCCAGGAGTTCTAGACTAGCCTGGGCAATGTAATGAGACCCCGTCTCTACAAAAAATACCAAAATTACCCGGGTGTGGTGGTGTGTGCCTGTAGTTCCAGCTGCTACTGGAGAGACTGAGGTGGGAGGATTGCTTCAGCCCAGGAGGCAGAGGTTGCAATGAGCCAAGATTGCACACGACTCCAGCCTGGGCAACACAGCAAGACACATACGTATGTGTGTGTGGTGTGTGTGTGTGTGTGTGTGTGTGTGTGTGTGTGTGTATATATATATACATATATATATACGTGTATATATATACACATATACACGTGTATATATATACACACGTATATATATATGCACATATATATACACGTATATATATATATATACACACATATATATACACGTATATATATATATACACACATATATATACACGTATATATATATATATACACACACACACACACATATATATATATATGGAGAGAGAGAAAGAGGAGGGGTGGGGTTTGGAGAAAAACAGCCCAGTGTTGGAATCCGCATTGGCTCTGTTATTATTCGTAGTTCCCATAAATTTCTATTTGCATCTCTGAAAAATAAGGACAATAATCCCCATGCTTTGAAGTTGCTATGAGAATTAAATGACATAAGTCATGTGTAATGCTTAACAAAGTGCCTGGCCCACAGATTAATGGTACTGCTTACCATTAATTAAGTAGGTTCCTAGCATAAGCAAAATCTCTTTTTTTACATTAAATTCTCTCAGGACACAAAAAAAAAATCTGAAAAAAATCAACCCCAAATGCTCCAATCCAGACCTACAGCTTTATATCAATATACTAATGGATCTCAAATTGTATCTCAAATTTATAGCTAGGGTTGTCATCTGAGCAACAGACTTGCCTATCATCCAACTGCCTACATGAAATCTCCACTTAGACCCGTAAGAGACAGCTTAGAATTAATACAGTGCATGCCTAATACATTATCGTCAGGGGAACTCGGGTGAAGGGTACACAGGAACTCTACTATGCTTGCAACTTTATATGAGTCAAACTATTTCAAAATTTAAAGTTATAATATTTATTTAAAATAATAGTTATAACACACAATTATTATTTACAGTATAATACTTATTTCTAGTAATAATAAGATTAACATTCTCAAACTGAACTACTATAGGTTTGCTCTCTGGCTCCAATTCCCTATCCATCTTTGTAAATGAACCACTGTCCAAACAATTGCTCAGATGAAGCACTTAGGGCATCACCCTCAAGTGGAATAAAATAGCATTAAGAACATACACGCCTTGGGGCCAGACTGCTGGGTTTGAGTCATGGCTCTTCCAGTTTCCAGCTAAGTGACCTCAGGCCAGTTCCCTGACTTTCCAATATTTCAGTTTCCCCATCCATAAAATGAGAATAAATAGAACCTATAGCACACAGTTATTATACAGATTAAAAGAGTGAGTTAATACACTAAAGTGCTTCAAATGGTCCACTTCTCATTGTAAGTTTTCAATAAAGAATTAGCCATCACTATTATTATTTTCCCTTAGCCCTGCACTTACATCCCACATGTATTCTAAACCTGACCACTTCTCACTCTCTCAGCTGCCAACAACTCTAGTATAACCCCACCACCATCATCAATTCCTATAAATCCGTACAGTTCCAATCATATCTCTGTTCCCAGCCTTCTCCTTCTAGGATTCATTTTCTGTAATAGTTAGAGAAAACTTTCTAAATCCTAAACCAAATCATCTTATCTTTTACTCCAATGGTTTCTATTCAACGTTCCAATCATTTCCTATTGGGAGCAATTTTTTTGAAAAACTCTTAATAATGGCCTAAAAAATTCTCTATGATCTCACTCCTGCTTTCTTCTCTGACCTCATCTGCTTTTGTTCTCTTCACTAAGACACAATGGCTTTGAGCATGCCAAAGCTTTTGCACTTGCTGTTTGTGGCATGGACTGCGACTTAATCTCCAACATTCATTCTCCCGTGCTTTCGAACACTCAATTTGTCAGGGCCACATGATGCCCTGGAATACAGACTACATATGTGGCCTACCGGCAGCTAGACATAACCAAACAATTACATTCTATCAATGGGATCTAAGCAGAAGTATGTGTAACTTTCAGGAAAAGACCTTAAATAGAGAAGGCACATCTCTCTTTTGCTCTTTCTGGGTCAGACTGGCTACAGTGCAAAAACAGCAGCCCAAGCTTGGAGCGTGTGTTTGGAAAAATGCAATTAACAAGAGAGAAGGAGCCAAAATCTGTGGAGGGAAAGGCAAAACTACAGAAGGAATCTGGGTCCAGGTGATCATCAAGCTGCATCATCAGCTCTAGGTTACTTACCTTGGAGAAGAAGAAACATACAATGCACTCCTATCCTGTAAGCTGCTTTAATTTATGATCATTCCCCTTTTCTTTGCAGAGCAATTTTCCCCATGGATCCATGTGTGGCTGCCTCCTTCTCACCGGTCAAGTCTCCCCTCAAATGGCACAACGTTAGGGGTGTCGCTGGTTTAGCAGGACCGTCTCTCTCTCCTGATCTATACCACGTGACTCTATGCTTTCTTGTTTGCAGCATGTGATAGCACAGGAATTCTTTATCTACTTTGTAAATGTCTGCCTCCTTCCACCTAAAGATAAACTTTTGGGGGGCATCCACTGTAGCCCCGCACACTTAGAACAGCTCCTGGATTGCAAAAAGAATGCAATCCCTATTTTTTGACTGGCTTACTTATGGTATGTTGAATGACCTGGCTTTGTGTTTCTTCCAAATCCTGGGTGGTTTTCCTTCTCATCTCAAATTAGTAGATTTAACTCAGTCCAACATTTACGGAGCACTTATTGGGTGGAGACACTGTGGTAGACACTGGAGAGATAAAGACCAAAGGAGGTGTGGTCACTGACCCCAGGGGCTTCATAGTAACACTGCAATCTGCTCTTCTCATCACAGAATCAAATACTGAAGGAATAGATAAGCTGACAGTAACTTTTGCGTTGTGTTTACTTAGGAAGAAACTCAGACTGTACCCGTAATTGTCATTTTTGGATCCATTTCTTAAACACACTGCAATCATTACTTTAGTGTTGTGACTATCACAAAATATTGACAACTTCCAAAATACAGTTTCAAAAGGTCATTAAATACGTAATTATTGAAAAATTCCATCGGTGTACCATGATCGCCTCAAAATCACTTTCTAGAATTCAAAGACTTTCACTACCCTCTGAGGAAAGTGACATGTAGAATTCTACCAAAACCATGTAGAAAGCTATATACAGAGTTCTTTTAACAAGACCAAATATTCCCCCAATGAGGCAGCTTCTAAAAGATCTCCTCTATCAAAACATTCTCTGAGCATTAGAATCCATGTGGTTAAGACCATTTCTTGGTGGAGGCTTTAAAAATTCAACCTGCAAAGTCTCATGAAATCATCCCAAATATTACATCCATCCAATCCAAAATTCTCCACTACTAGGTAAGATCATTCATGAAACCTTATATGGCTTATGTAAATTCTAGACTCAGAATGTTTTATAAAAAGCACAAGCACTAGCTTAGAGGTGGATTCTCTGGCCATACTCAAGACTGGAGATGACTGAAGCCTGACAGCTTGATTGCAAGCTTGTGAGACAGAGAACTACCCAGAACTACCTAAGCCAGATTATGGATTCCTGTTCCTGGATTCCTGACCCTTAGAAACCTGGTGAGAGAATAAATGTTTGTTGTATGTTTGTGTGTGTGTGTTTCTACAGCATGATCACTGGCAGTCCTATTTCCAAATTATACACATACCATAAGTGCAGGGCTCATGCCTGTAATCCCAGCACTTTAGGAGGCCAAGGTGGTAGGATCATTTGAGTCCAGGAATTTGGGACCAGCCTGGGCAAGATGGCAAAACCTCATCTCTACAAAAATAAATAAATAAATGAAAATCAGCCAGGCGTAGTGGTGCACACCGGTAGTCCCAGATACTCAGGAGGCCGAGGTGGAGGATTATCTGAGCCCAGGAGTTCAAGGCTGCAGTGAGCTGTGAATATACTGCTGCACTCCAGCCTCGGTGAGAGAGTGAGACCCTGTCTCTAAAAAAGAAAAAAAGAGTGTGGGATTTGGAAAGAGAGAGAGATCAGAGTTTGAAACTAGCCCAAGCCATGTTACTTGGGCAAGTGTCTGCATAACCATTCCATGCCACAGTTCGCTGAGAGCTAACATGACAAACAAACAAGATCAGGAAGTGAGACCACAGTGCCTGGCATACACATACAGTAAGCACTCAATTCACATTGACTGTGATGTCAGTGAGAACACTGACGATGATGGCAAGAGAGCACCAAGATTTGAACCCAGGTCTGGCTGCCTCCAAATTCAATCCCATTTCACTATTTCTTGTTCAGTTTTTTCATTCTTGGCCACCAATCCAGGGCATCAGTAGGAGGTTTCAGCTCTGATTTCTAAGGCATGGATGCTGCCGAGCCTCTACGGGGTGAGTTTGTTCAACCCCATCACCATGGCAGGTAATTTGTGCAACAGAAAGGATAGAGATTGAATGGAGGGGAAGTGCCAACTCTCCATGTGGGGGACAAGGCACCATATGGCCCAGCAATTAGGAAGGAAGAAGACTGCCAAGGACAAAAATAACTCTGGCAGAATCCAACACGGCTGGTAGAAGTCAGCCCAGGTCAGCTCCTTCTTGGTGGTGTTGTTCTTGTTCCCCAAGGGACTCTACTGACACTCCTTACCATGAATTTGAAAAAGATATGAAAGAGGAAAAGGAAGTCTGATGATAGTGGAGAGTTCTAATACCAGCTCATTAAAACAATTTTCCTTTTTCCTAAAAGCCTGGTGCAGGAATAGCTCTTCAAAGGGAAGATGTGCTTCAAGAGATTATTGTTAACTTTGAAGAAGCTTAACAACCTCACTCTCCTTGTCTCTAAAAGAAGGCAGGTGAACTAAATGAGATGCCTTGTCTCTTGCAGCTCTGAAATAAGCTGTTGACTCCAGTCAATAAGCCAGAGATAGCAACAGGAAGAGGAAGAAGGAAGCTGTATAGATTCAACCCTACCCATTTTCTACGAGTAAAGTTTGTGTTCAAGAAAAAGAACAGGGAACAAGGACTCAGTGAATTTCTGTAAGAATTCAGGCATGCTTCACACCAGGAAAACAATGAACACCGTACTCTTTCAAATCTAAAAAGCAATCCAAATGTTCAGTTTCTTTCTCTTCTAATGGAATGAAACTATCAATGGCATTCAAATACCATCACTCATTCAGCTGAAAGCTGTTTTATGCATGTAACTACAAGGGGATGATTCAAAGGAAAAAATGTAAGGTTTTATTTGGCAAAATGAAAATTAATATTTCTTAAAATAGAGATCAGTTAGGTAACCTCTATCTTAATTATGACACTTCAGTATTTTTTCTTGACAGCTTAAAGTCAAAATCACCCTTCATTGCTGTTTCTTTGGTTAAACAGCAGCTGAGGAAGCTGGCTTGAGTTTAAGGACCATGTTGAATTTTTTAAAATATAGAGTAAGACACTAGAATAAACACCCACTTGGTGAGGTGCTCACACCATGAGGGGCACATGGGAACTGAAAACAAATGGAGAAATCCAACTCATGACTAAACTCCTGTTCACTTTGGGACCTTTACACACCATATGCAAAGGCAGCTGGCATGGACTGTGTTATTTACACTTATACGTTTTCCCCTGAACTTTAAGTTAGTACACACTGTTGATTTGGTGTCTGTTACATACATATATACTGATGTTTCCCTGTATATTTTTGTTGTTTTTCTAATCTTATCACCCCTACTAAGCTACAAGTTCTGTGAAGCCTAGATTCACCTTTGTATAATAACTCCTAGCATACTATAGATTCCTAGCTTCTAGAACTTCCCATATCGGAAGGTCTCAGGAAACCTGCATGGGATAATATGAATGAAAATAAAAAGTGACCTGGATACATACATATCTCTCTCCCTGAAATATTGCTAGAGCATACCCTTCCTGGGTATTTGTACAAAAAAGATAATGAGCATTCTGGCTGGCTCCTTTGCAACAGTTATAAAGGCAAAAGGAATAAAAAAAGGATTCCAGGGTCTTTTCAAAGGAGCTAATACGGTAGGGTGAGATTTATATTAGAAATGCACTGTTTCAGTCTATCTAGTCACTATTACCCATTTTCTGGCCACCAGTTCCCAGCTCCTGAGGTGCATGTGACCCTGAGCAAGCTAATCAGCATGATCCATTCTCTAGTCAAAGTGTTCAGGGCTGGCCATATGATCCTGGTTAATCTAACCAGATTCAATCTTGGGACATTGGTTGTAACCATTGAGAAAAAGGAGAAAAAGAAATTCACTTTTCATGAAGGATGCTAAGCTTCAAGGATGGGACTCTAACACTGCTAGGAACAATCCTCTTCCCACCAGAGATAAGACTGAGAATGGCACCAATACAGCAGAGGGCAGAAGACAGATACAAGGACAGATTGCTAACATGGTTTGGGTACCCAGAGCCAGCCATGCCCGTAGGTAGTTTATCTTTGGACGTTTTCATTAGGTAAGCACATAAATTCTCTTTTCTGTTTGAGTATGAATTCTTCTGGCTATGACAATGGAATGAATTTTAAGTGAAATAGAAGTGTTACGGGGGATTGCACAGGCTCATAAAACTCAAGTCCTTTACAATATATCCCAACCTACGCTGTCTAACCTCCTCTGCCATCATCCCTCATCCATTCTGTGAATTTAAGTTCTAAATGCACTCCACTATACACTGTCCGTGAATAGATCAAACACATTTATTCCAACATGCCTTTGCTCAAGCTATTACCTCTCCCTATGAGATCTTTCCTTCTTTCTCTGCCCAGGAAACTCCTATTGATCCTACAAAGCCCGTTTTTCTGTGGAAGCCATACCATTCATAAGCAGGAGCAGGCACTCCCTTCTCCATGTTCCCTTTCACTCCTTTCTCTGTGTTCCCTTTTGCATTTTCCCCATAATTTATGGCACCTTGTAGCATTTGCCACATTGGCTCACTGTTATTTATTCATGTGTTTCTCCCCAAACTGTAACTTATTCATCTTTATCTCCTCATAGTTTAATGTTCAATAAGTGAGAAGGAGGAAAGAATGGCAGTGGGGGAATGTTATGGTCATGCAGGGCAAAGAAGGATAGACTCTGAACAAGAGTCTTCAGAACTTGGGTATACCTTGCAATAAAAACAATAATCAGGAAATCATTGCTGGATTAAAAATGACCTCCCAACTTTTCGCCTTCCACTGAAAAAAATCACTAGATTTTTTAAGTGAATGCAAAGGAAACAATTGTTATTTAATAGTCAAATTAGGATCTCATGCTGTTCCCCAACCCCCTGAAAATTACACATTTAAAGAGAAAGATTATGAAGATAATTATCTTTTAAATGTATCAAACACGGTGGCTCACACCTGTAATCCCAACACTTTGAGAGGCCAAGGCGGTCGGATCACCTGAGGATAGGAGTTCAAGACCAGCCTGGCCAACATGGTGAAACCTCGTCTCTACTAAAAAATAAAAAATTAATAAAAAAATAAAAATCAGCCAGTGTGGTGGTGGGTGCCTGTAATCCCAGCTACTTTGAAGGCTGAGGCAGGAGAATCGCTTGAACCCAGGAGGCAGAGGTTGCAGTGAGCTGAGATCACACCAATGCACTCCAGCCTGGGCAACAAGAGCGAAGCTCTAGCTCAACAAAAACAAAGACATAAATAAAATAAATGTAAACAGTTATGTTTACAACACCCTCTGCCTTTTCCACTAACTTATAGGTTGGAGTATAAGGATAAAACCAGAAGACAGCATTATTGGGAACCAGAAAAACAATGACCTCAAGACTTGTAAATTCTCCATATAAACAACAAAATACCACAGCTAAGAATAATGCTTTAAGTGGCATGGACTCAGGGGATATTCTCTGGCCAGATTAAAAGATACACACCATCCTTCCATGTGGTGATAAAAAACACTGATCTCTATCTACCTCCTTCTCTGTCATCCAAAAACATTTTTCTCATGTGTTCAGCATTTTCTAAAACAAGTAACTATGCAGAAATCAATTCCCTACAGTTAAATTTATACCAAGTTAGGCTGGCATTGAACTGCAATATACCAAAGCTCTTAGAAATCTGGCAAATACAATATGAAGGATATCAAAAGAAGCCTGTAATTGAGCTGAAAAATTAATTATAGCCCTAATGTGATTCTCTTCAATCAGGAAGGTCCACTAGATGCCATGCTCTCATCTAACCCTCAGAGCAACATTAATATCCACACCAGACGGACAGGAAGGGCAGCAGTCAGACCCAGAGCAGACTCGTTTCTCTGTTCGATCCTCAACATTTTTCTTTTATTAACTAAGACAAACATACCAACTATAGTCAAGCAGTCATACAAACCAACTACCAACAAACAGACACACATACCAACTGCCTACTGTCAACCAGAAACACATACTAACACCGGCAAACAGAAACACATACCAACTACCGTCAACCACAAACATGTACTAACTACCATCAAACAGACACATATACCAACTACCATCAACCAGAAACATGTACCAACTACCATCAAACAGACACACATACCAACTACCATCAACCAGAACCACATACCAACTACCATCAAACAGACACACGTAGCAACTACCATCAAACAGAAACACATACCAACTACCGTCAAACAGACACATGTACCAACTACCGTCAAACAGGCACACATATCAAGTACCATCAAACAGGCACATGTACAAACTACCATCAACTGGAAACACATACCAACTACTGTCAACCAGAAACATGCACCAAGTACCAACAAACAGACATACATACCAACTACCATCAAACAGAAACAAATACCAGCTACTGTCAACCAGAAACATGTACCAACTACATCAAACAAACACACATACCAACTACTGTCAAACAGACACATACCAACTACCATCAAAAAGACACACCAACTACTGTCAACCAGAAACACATATCAGCTACTGTCAAAGAGAAAACCTCTTCTGCACAATATTGCCAAGCAACCATCTGAAATGGATACCGTGTTCTCTGGGACCAAGAACAAACAAAAAAGATGCCTGTGTCCTTTTAACCTGTATCCTCATTTGTGATCATGGCCAAAGCAGAAGTGCTCAATGAGGAGGGTGCAAGGAAATATACTTGGATCAAAAGCCTGGCCAGGCTTTCCACACTATTCCTAGACACAAAGGGAGCTGGTTTCCTGGGCACTCTAGCAGACTGTGGCAACTATTTAGCATATGAAGAGAGGCCTGTGCCTTTACCCACTTTCTGGAAACAAAAGCAGTCTGTCGTCAATATAAATACAGTTTACATACCAATGCTTTCTAATTAACCTTTCACCACAGTAGTTTTCACCACAAGTGCATTTTCCTTCTTAGCCTCAGGAACCTGGGAGAGCACTAACCCTAGGCTTCTCAGTCCTTGCTAATGATAGGTTTCCAGGGGCTTTAAACAAAGTTTGGATTTCAGGATCAGCTCTGCCACTTACTACCTGAACTCAGGCAAGTAAGGTAACCTCTCTCACTTCCCCTACACTCACTTCCACAGCAAAGGCTTAAGAGCTTTCTCATAAGATCAATGGGAATATTAAACAACATATGGAAAGTGCTTAACATCAAGATGGGCTCAAAGGGAAAGTCACAAACCACATACAACAGCAACTTATGCTATAACAACTTATGCTATATGTTATGTTCAGTAACTTCTAAGCTAAAAGAAATATTCGAGATCAGTAATCACAACCAATAGGAGAGAGACTTCTCAGTTTATACATGCCTTCCTGGACTACTCTATCTAAAATTACATCAAACCCCTTTATTCTCTATCCCCCTCACCCTGATTCATTATTTTACATAACAGCATATATCACTTCCTGGCATTTTATATTTATTTTGGGTGTTTTTTTCTATATTCATGCTCCATAATGTAAGCTTGGTTGAATTCACTACTATATTCCCAGTGCCTAAAAAAGTGCCTGGCAAACAGAGACCCTCAATAAATACCTGCAGGATGGTAGAATGAATATACATTTTAAAAATATAGGGGGCTATCAATTTTTACATTTGTTTTGAGAGTGGGTTGTATTTTATTAAAAGGATTTTTGATACTGCAGGTTGCTTTACATCTAAAATGGACTTCTTATCTATTTATTCAAAAACTATCTATTGGACAGAGCATTTCACAAAGCTGTTTGCCAGGTGCTAAGAAAGAGGTAATGATTCATCAGAGTATGCCCTTAAAGAGGTTTTAGTTCATACACACTGGGTTGCATCCTCAATGCACAATCATTCTTCCTTCACTGGTAAGTGCCTCTCTCCCTTCTTCCACATGGTGACTGCAAATGCAGCCATGTTGGTAAAATATAATAACCAGTCTGCTGTGAGAGAGGAAGGAAGCAGATGTGCTGGGAAGAGCAGCCAGGCTGAGAGAGGGATTCAGGGCTCCCCGTGGTGCAGCAAGCCCCAGGGCCCAACTGTTACTAAATCTGGATGGTGTATGTATCAAAAACAATTTTTAAAAAATAATCAGGCAAGACATAAAAAAGTTTGAAAAGATATATTCTTTCCAAGGGAAATCTATCCTAAAGAAAAAAACTGAAATCTGAACATATATTAAAACACTGATCACACAGAAATATAAACTACCATCAGAGAACACTATAAACATCTCTACGCAAATAAACCAGAAAATCTAGAAGAAATGGACAAATTCCTGGACACAAACACCCTCCCAAAACTAAACCAGGAAGAAGTCGAATCCCTGAAAAGACCAATAACAAGTTCTGAAATTGAGGCAATAATTAATAACCTACTAACCAAAAAAAGCCCAGGACAAGACAGATTCACAGCCAAATTCTAACAGAGGTACAAAGAAGAGCTGATACCATTGCTTCTGAAACGATTCCACACAATAGAAAAAGAGGGACTCCTCCCTAACTCATTTTATGAGGCCAGCATCATCCTGATACCAAAACCTGGCAGAGACAAAACAAAAAAAGAAAATTTCAGGTGAATATCCCTGATGAACATTGATGCGAAATCCTCAATAAAATACTGGCAAACCGAATCCAGCAGCACATCAAAAAGCTTATCCACCACTATCAAGTCAGCTTCATCCCTGGGATGCAAGTCTGGTTCAACGTACGCAAATCAATAAACGTAATCTATCACATAAACAGAACCAGTGACAAAAACCACATGATTATCTCAACAGCTGCAGAAAAGACCTTTGATAAAATTCTACACCCCTTCATACTAAAAATTCTCAAAAAACTAGGTACTGATGGAATGTATCTCAAAATAATAAGAGCTATTTATGACAAACCCACAACAAATATCATGTTGAATGGGCAAAAACTGGAAGCATTCCCTTTGAAAATGGGAACAAGACAGGGATGCTCTCTCTCACCACTCCTATTCAACATAGTGTTGGAAGTTCTGGCCAGGGCAATCAGGCAGGAGAAAGAAATAAAGGGTATTCAATTAGGAAAAGAAGAAGTCAAATTGTCCCTGTCTGCAGATTACATGATTGTATATTTAGAAAACCCCATCCTCTCAGCCCAAAATCTCCTTAAGCTGATAAGCAACTTCAGCAAAGTCTCAGGATAGAAAATCAATGTGCAAAAATCACAAGCATTCCTATACACCAATAATAGACAAAGAGAGCCAAATAATGAGTGAACTCCCATTCACAATTGCTACTAAGAGAATAAAATACCTAGGAATACAACTTACAAGGGATGTGAAGGAACTCTTCAAGGAGAATTACAAGCCACTGCTCAAGGAAATAAGTCAGGACACAAACAAATGGAAAAACATTCCATGCTCATGGATAGGAAGAGTCAATATCGTGAAAATGGCCATACTTTTCAAAGTAAGTTTTAGATTCAATGCTATCCCCATCAAGCTACCATTGACTTTCTTCACAGAATTAGAAAAAACTACTTTAAATTTCATATGGAACCCAAAAAGTGCAATCCTAAGCAAAAAGAACAAAGCTGGAGGCATGACACTACCTGACTTCAAACTATACTACAAGGCTATAGTAACCAAAACAGCATGGTACTGGTACCAAAAGATACATAAACCAATGGAACAGAACAGAGGCCTCAGAAATAACACCACACATCTACAACCATATGACCTTCGACAAACCTGACAAAAACACACAATGGGGAAAGGACTCCCTATTTAATAAATGGTGCTGGGAAAACTGGCTAGCCATATGCAGAAACTGAAACTGGACCCCTTCCTCACACGTTATAAAAAAATTAACTCGAGATGGAGTAAAGACTTAAACATAAGACCTAAAACCATAAAACCATAGAAGAAAACCTAGGCAATATCATTCAGGACATAAGCATGGGCAAAGACTTCATGACTAAAACACCAAAAGCAATGGCAACAAAAGCCAAAATTGACAAATGGGATCTAATTAAACTAAAGAGCTTCTGCTCAGCAAAAGAAACTACCATCAGAGTGAACAGGCACCCTACAGAATGGGAGAACATGTTTGCAATCTATCCATCTGCCAAAGGGCTAATATCCAGAATCTACAAGGAACTTAAACAAATTTATAAGAAAAAAAAAACAAACAACCCCATCAAAAAGTAGGCAAAGGATATGAACAGACACTTCTCAAAAGAAGACATTTATGTGGCCAAGAAACATGAAAAAAAGCTCATCATCACTGGACATTAGAGAAATGCAAAGCACACACAATGAGATACCATCTCACGCCAGTTAGAATGGCGATCATTAAAAAGTCAGGAAACAGCAGATGTTGGAGAGGATGTAGACAAACAGGAACATTTTTACACTGTTGGTGGGAGTCTAAATTAGTTCAACCATTGTGGAAGACAGTGTGGCAATTCCTCAAAGATCTAGAGCCAGAAATACCACTTGACCCAGCAATGTTATTACTGGGTATATACCCAAAGGATTATAAATCATTCTGCTACAAAGACACAGGCTCACGTATATTTATTGCAGCACTATTCACAATAGCAAAGACTTGGGACCAAACCAAATGCCCATCAATGATAGACTGGATAAAGAAAATGTGGCACATATATACCATGGAATACTATGCAGCCATAGAAAAGGATGAGTTCATGTCCTTTGCAGACACATGGATGAAGCTGGAAACCATCATTCTCAGCAAACTAACACAGAAACAGAAAACCAAACACCACATATTCTCACTCATAAGTGGGAGTTGAACAATGAGAATACATGGACACAGAGAGAGGAACATCACACACTGGGGCCTGTCAGGGATGGGGGGGGGTACAAGAGGGATAGCATTTGGAGAAATACCTAATGTAGATGATGGGTTGATGGGTGCAGCAAACCACCATGGCACGTGTATACCTATGTAACAAATCTGCACATTCTGCACATGTATCCCAGAACTTACAAGTATAATAATAATAAAACACAGGAAGATGTTTATCACAGCTATTTAAAAAGGAAAAGCCAATCATTTTAGACAAAATAATGAAAGAACACCTTTCTATTCTCATATGACAAGATACTCATATGACATATGAGTATATATGGGGAAAGGGAGAGGTGTAGTAGACATAGAAGCAGATATATAAAGTAGATATATCCAGATATTCACCATGATTATTACTGGATTATAAAATTAATGCATATTTTTCTTTTATTCTTGGTGCCTTTTATATTTTTATATTTTACAAATTATAATAAATGATGACTACTTTATTTTAAAATGCTGTATTTTACCATAAAATACTACCCAATGACTTCTGCAAAGTTCTTCTGTTTGTAAACAACTAAACAGCAAATGCTTCCAAGACCATTAGGAACATACCTGTAGTTGTGCTAGTCAACGTATCACTCAATGCAGCAGGGATAATGCACACTGTGGGGAACTGGGGGATCTCAGAAAGAGGAGATTGCAAAGAACTTTTATAGGATTTGTGCATGTGTTGGGTAATTTTATGTGATTTGGGGGAGGGTTCAAAGTAGTAGGGCTTTGTTCTAGACTAGATGCTGTTAAGACATGGAGGTAATTCCATGATTGTGTTTCCTAATAAATCTTACCTAGCATGCAGAAAGAAGGAAGCAATGCTACAACTCTAATATTTAAAGAAGCAGCAGTCACTCATACCAGCCAGAATGGGAGGATGTGTGGTCTTTTTTGTGGTTTGGACAATTTTCATGTTTTGTCTGTGTTAAGGCATGATTACCAGGGGTCTCGTTTTTGTTCTGATCCATCACCAAGCCACGAGCAACCCCAATGCCTAACTGATAGCACCGGGCCAGTTCCCGAATAGCAAAGAATATATAAGCTGTCAGAAATATTCAGAGGCAGGTAGTATGATTAGGGTTATTTCTGAAAACAAACATAATGCAAACCTGATGGGGTTATTTTGTAGATTAAGTAATACATGTGAGTGTGATTTATAAATATAAACAGCCACATGCATGTTACCATTTGCTAATATCTTCACCATCACTGTCATTTATATCAATCTCATCTAGTGCAGGAGGATCTATATCTTTGGAAAGGGGCGGGCTGCAACGGAAACTTGTACATTAGTTTCAGTTTACCAAAATGGTTAGAGATGACGGAAATTAAGACCTAAATCTTAGAAATGGACACATATGAAAACTTCAGACACAACTCTTAAAATACGCATCCCCTCATAATGCGTCACTTCTGACAAACCCATGAGAAAGCAAAAAATTTAACACCTATCCCAAAATAGAGTAACTTAAAAGAAACTTGAGAAATGGAAAATGGGGGCAAAGGTGAAGTGGCATAATGTCAGCCACTTACTTTTGATGGTTCAGCCAAAGAGAGAGAGAGAGAGATGGCATACCAGTAACATGTGGTGTATATATGATATTAAAAAGGTAACATTTTAAAAATGTATATACATGGAACTCCTGAGGACTTCTTCCTGTATTCTCATGGGTCATTTCTCACTTTGGAGACTACTTCCTTAAAAGACCTAATTACAAGAGGTCAGAATAGTGGAATTGTACATAAGATGTGTGTCAAAGGCCAGGAAGTACCCATAGTGAAGTAAAACTTCCTTACTTTCAGACAGGCCTTTATTGTGATGAAATTATAAATTCTTAGATGACTCATATTCTAGCCATCTATTCATTCTTAAGCATCTACAGAGTTCCTAAGAAGGACCAAGCTTGATCTAAGGTGTCAGAGGTCCATGAAGACTTCTCGAGAGGCCTCCCTCATGAGCAATCTCTACAGGCAGGATGATGCACCATTTATTTTATAGGAATTCCATCTAGTAGACACCCTTCCCCTCAAAAAAATGTGATGATCCCATCAAAAGCTTGCAGGCACTTAGCCATGGCGAGAAAATTAAACAGCCTGTATGTAGTAAACGGGTCACAGAAAGGGTAGGTTATGCAGAATAAAAAATAAGACCAAACTCAGGGGAACCAGGTCCTCTGAACTTTTATTTTTAATTAGTACATGGGCATAATGGGGTATGATCTCACACACACACACACACACGCACACACACACACACACACACTCTCAAACTACAAAAATAAATCTCCCTCTGTCCCAACCCTAGCCTTCCAGTCCCTCCCCAGAAACAACCAATGTTTTCTATGCACACGCACAATTGCATATAAACATACATTTAAAATCATAAATGGCCACTAACTATAGACCCTGTTAAATACTTTGCTTTGTCTCGTTGAACAATATTCACTCCTTCATTTACTTGTCATTCAGCAATTATTCTAGGAACCACTAAAAAAGCAGTCAAAACAGACAAAACTCTTGCCCCCATGGAGGTGGTATCTCAGTGGGCCATTCCATACAGCATATAAACAATACGTCATTATTTCGATAACTGTATTTTCACTCTATTGTAAGTACATGCTACAATGTACAGTCCTTTATGGATCAACATTCAGTTTGCTTTCTACTTTGCACATTCTTTTTTATAAATATTGGGCTTGCAGCACCCTCTTCTTTTATAAGCAAATATTTTGGCCAAACCCTGAACAATTGTTTAAAACACGTTCATCTATGTCAAGGTTGTATTTTGAAAATGCCTCATTCAATGACTTAGTTTTCACTTATCAACATCTATAAAACCACATCAGAGAAGATATTCATTCTAGAATTGTTTAACTAAGTTAAGATTCCAGTTGATTATTTGCAACAGTTTAGCAAATTACCTTACAGTTTTTAACAGCCTATGAAGAAAGTAAATGTCATAGTCAATCCATTTTTTTTCCTTGCAACTGTTAGGTGTGGTGTTAATTCTCCCAGCTGGTTTTCAGACAGCTTTAAAATTAACTTTGAAGTTTCTCTAACCCTTAAAAAAAAGTCAATGATTGCTTTGCCAAGAAAAACAGAGCCCTTACTGAACAAGTCAGAATTCACTAAGGTCTTCTAATTTCAAATGTAGACCTTCTGGGCACTGTGTATGTGTATAGACGTGTATATATGTATGCATTTGTGTCTATGCATACATGTGAGGATGCATGTACATGTATGTAAGCTAACATTCATAGAAGGTCTATGATGCACTGCAGCTGAAGGAGTAATGCTGAACCACTGTTACATCAATCCATCTTACAAAATAAATACATAACCAATACAAGAGTCCATGCTGACTTATAAAACAATAACCCCAAGATTTCTTGAGCACCTAAAATGTGTGCCAGGCTCTGTGCTGTTTTAAGCGCATCTCTTATGCAAAATAACTCAATGTAAGGATAGGAAAGCTGACTCTTACAGTGGCTTAGATACTTTGCCACGTTAATTCAACCCCTAAGCGATAGAGCTGAATGTCAGCGTAGACAGCCTCTGCTTTAAAATCTCTATAAAGGGTATGACACTATTGTTAACTTCTAAATACATCTGATAATATCTGCTTATAAATTATGAGATGGCATTTTATATCTATTACCAGAGTATAACATATCACGTAGGATTTATACAGGTTACCTTATGATTTTTATAAATGTGGGATCCATTATTCAACCCACATCTACCTACTCCACATCTGGGTATTCTTTTTTGTCACCTCAAGGTACCCCAGAATGAAACCATGGAGAAGTTGTACTGCCCACTTTCTGCAAAGAAGCAGGGTTAAAAGCAGGAGCTCTGGAGGGCTACTGCCTAGATTCAAATCCGAGCACAGTCACATGGTAGCTGTGTGCACTGGACAAATCCCACTTCTGTTTATCTGTTTAGTGGGAATGATATTCTTGGTGGCTGAGTGTATTGAAGAGGAATATATATATGAAGAGCTGATAGCAGTGTTTGCCCTATGTTTAGGTACTCCATACAGCTTGCAACTATGGTTATTTGCCCATATTCACTCCATAACAGAATTACAATCAGGTATGTTCTATCCCAGACTCAGGGCAGAGCCTGGAGTTCAAACATACCACATGTTGAGAAAAAAGGTCAACTATGAAGTTCATTGGGAGCTTAGAACAATGAAGAAAAGTTAAGAACAATGTTCAAATGAGGAGTAAATGAAGTAATTGAGGAACTCCAAAACTACCATCCCAGAGCTCCTCAAGCAAAGGTCTCCAATAACCTCCTGCAACCCTGCGGCAATAACCAGCAATAACCAGCTCTGCAGACTGGAACCCATTCAGTCTGATGTGAATACGCTTTGCTCTGGAGGAAGAAGCTCTGCTCATGGCAGACAGGCCTGATTGCCAGAAGTTACATTTCCTGTGAGTGAGCAGGGAAGCCACAGAAACTAGAGCCATGGGGTATTGGGGGCATCCCAGGTGAAATGAGGCTCTCACCACCTCAGAGGAGCCTTCCGCCCACAGATGAAGCATCCCAATGAGGGACAAGAGGGGCAGTTGGCACACAGCTCGCAAGAAGGCCTAGGCACCCTACCATCCCCTCTCCCTGCACTGGGGACCACCAGAGGCTCAGGGCCAGGGGAGAAAAGTGGCTCTACAATAAGGCTCTGCACAAAAGGGCCTCCCTTTTCAACTCCTCTCCATTTGCTCCAGCTGAGCCCAGCTTTATGCAAACAACACTCTTTTTTTTTTTTTTTTTTTTTTTTTTTTTGAGACGGAGTCTCTCCCTCTCGCCCAGGCTGGAGTGCAGTGGCGCGATCTCAGCTCACTGCAACCTCTGCCTCCCAGGTTCAAGCTATTCTCCTGCCTCAGCCTCCCTAGCAGCTGGGACGGCAGGCATGCGCCACCACGCCGGGCTAATTTTCGTATTTTGAATAGAGAGGGGGTTTCATCATGTTGGCCAGGCTAGTCTCGAACTCATGACCTCAAGTAATCCACCCAACTCGGTCTCCCAAAGTACTGGGATTACAGGTGTAAGCCACCGCTCCCGGCTGCAAACAACACTCTTAAGCTCAAAATGCAGGCTACTGGAGGGGTGGGGTGAGCCAACAGTTCATTAAGTGGCAGCAGGCCAGGGAAGCGGGGTCGGCGGGAACGGGAGGCAGCAAGGGGGAAGGGAACCTGGCTCTCAACCCACTGGAGCCAAAGTAAACTGTACTTCAAGGGACCCTGGCCCTAGGCGGAACGAGCCTGCGGCT
The DNA here is from genome assembly GCF_000001405.40 of Homo sapiens. NCBI lineage: Eukaryota > Metazoa > Chordata > Mammalia > Primates > Hominidae > Homo > Homo sapiens. The sequence goes on from NC_000003.12 coordinate 65,549,028, forward strand.
GATGGGCCGCCCGCGTCTCCTTGCACCTGCCCTGGCGCCGCAGCCAAGGCGGCCCCTGCTCGGGCCCTGCGCTCCGGGGCGCGGGCCGAGATGCTCGCCCAAGAAACATGGCTGGCTGGAGCCTCCGGGCGCGGGAGGGACGCGACCGCCAGCCTGGGGAGGCGGGAAGGGGGAACTTGAACGCCCGGGCGGGCGGCAAGTGCAGCGCGTTCCAGCCGCTCCCCGGCGCGGCCACTTCCTCGCCTTCTCCTTCCTTCCCTTTCCTCCCTCTTTCCGTCTTCCCTCTTCCTCATTCCCGCCCAGTCTCCTTCCTCCCTTCCTAACCCCCTCCCCTCCCCTCTTCCTGCTGTCACTTCCAAACCCAAGGACAAAACCGTTACCTGCGGGCCCCGGAGCGGCCCCGGAGTTCGCCTCGGTCACTGCCGGAGCCCAGGCGCGCGCTCGGTGGCCGCCCGCCTCATCCCCGCGCGTCTGAGCGGCCCGGCGGCAGCTGCTCCTTTTATGGGGCTCGCAGGCAGTAGGCTCGGCCAGGGTGTCCCCAGCCCGCTCGGGCGGCAGCGGCGTCAATGCGCGCTATTCACACTCCGGGCTGCGGCTGGTACCCCTCTACACGCCCCCCGGGAGTGCGCGACTGCCTGCCCGCCCCCATCCTCAGGGCCTTGGACGGGGGTAGGGGTGGGAGACAAATATGGCTTTCAGGGCACCCACTAGGGGAAGGGAGTCACATGGTTCTGGCCCTGGGTAGCCAGGGTAAGAGGGGCCCACCAAGAGCTGCTAGCACCTTGAAATGAATAGGGAGGTGCCGGTCAAACACGGGAGTGTGGGGTTGACTTCGAAATACAGCAGGAAGAGAGCTGAACCTTTCATTATCATCATCACCACTATTTTACTTATGATTATCATTAAATAGCATCTGCCATTTTATTAAGTGATTACTATGAGCCAAAAAATTCTCTTCTGGTACAGAACATTTTAAAAGCCTGTGTGTTCTGGGTCCACCACCTGGCACTTTGGTTAATACAGACAGAATCACATCTTCCCTCTTCTCAGTGGAAACCTCTGCTGGCCCCATTCCATAGAAGAAAAGCTACCCACATTAGCTCTGCATTCAAGGGCCCTTAAGTTTCTATCCTGGTCCTACTCTTTAGCCTCAAATCTGATGCATCTCACCCTCAAGAGACCCCAGGAGGGGGTTAAGTATTTGTCTTTTTATTAAAGATCAGAAAGACAAAGCTCGGAGAGGTTAAGTAATTGCCAAAGGTCACTCAGCTAAGAAATGCTGGAGCAATGCCCCAGGTCAGTCCAAGTTCAAAGTCCTGGATCTTGGTCTCTCCATGCTACTGTTTTTAGTAAACTTCTAAGGCCAAGAGGGCATCACACCCTTTTGAGTTCTGGATGATATCTCACCTCTTCACTGGCAAGAATAAAACTTGAAAGAAATTGGACTCTCTAGGCCAAGAAGAAAATCCCAGAGAGCCCTGTTTGAACCTGTCACCTCCGGGCAGCTCTTCCTTTTATTCATATACAACTTTAGTTTTAGTTTCAGGTGGACCACAGCAATAGTGATGGGAAACAATCAATTTGACTAAACTGGGATTGGCCCCCAGCATGCTCACATCACTGCCTGGAATGGCAAGAAGAACTGGAATTCCCAAGGCTAAGCACCATAGCTCATGCTTACAATCCCAGCAATTTGGGAGGCCAAGACAGGAGGATCACTTGAGCCCCGAAGTTTGTGACCAGCTTTGACAACAGAGGGAGACCCCATGTCCACAAAAAAAAAAAATACAAAAATTATCTGGGTGTGGGGGCATGCACCTGTAGTCCCAGCTACTTGGGAGGCTGAGGTGAGAGGATTGCATGGGCCTAGGAGTCTGAGGCTGCATGAGCTGTGACTGTGCCACTACACTCCAGCCTGGGCAACAGAGACCCTGTCTTAAAAAGAAACGGAATTCCCAGTGATAGGTTTGGTTCTGTGTCCCCACCCAAATCTCATCTGGAATTGTAATCCCCATGTGTCCAGGGAGAGACCTGTAATCCCCATGTGTGGAGGGAGACAGGTAACTGGATCATGGGGGCGATTTCTGCCATGCTGTTCTCATGATGGTGAGTTCTCAGGAGATCTAAGAGTTTTATAAGGGGCTCTTCTCCCTTCGCTTGCTTCTCTTTCCTGCTGACTTGTTAAGGTGCCTGCTTCCCCTTCTGCCGTGATTCTAAGTTTCCTGAGGACTCCCCAGCCATGAGGAACTGTGAGTCAATTAAACCACTTTCCTTTTTTATTTTTATTTTTTGAGACGGAGTCTCACACGGTCACCCAGGCTGGAGTGCAGTCGCATGATCTTGGCTCACTGTAGCCTCTGCCTCCTTGGTTCAAGCGATTCTCACGCCTCAGCTCCCCGAGTGGCTGGGATTACAGGCACGCACCACCGCGCGCGGCTAATTTTCTGTGTTTTTAGTAGAGACAGGGTTTCACTGTGTTAGCCAGGATGGTCTCGATTTCCTGACCTCGTGATCCGCCCGCCTCGGCCTCCCAAAGTGCTGGGATTACAGGCGTGAGCCACCACGCCCGGCCCACTTTCCTTTATAAATTACCCAGTCTCAGGGAAGTTTATAGCAGTGTGAAAATGGACTAACACACCCAAGAAGAAAGCCAAAAGCAATTATTTGTTACACTTCACATAATACTAGAATGATTTTTCCATGTGACTTACAGAAGCAGAAGACTATACAATCCACACTAAGCATCTGAAACAGACCTTCCTTCACAAGTGTGGAAATGCATAAATGCATTAGCTAAGAGAGTAACATCACATTTACTCCTGTCTCTTTTTAAAGCAGACAAAGAGGAGCAATTTGACATGAGAGGTTCACCAAAGCAAAGCTGGTACAATTTCCCTGTGTGGGGCTCATCAGAGGACTAGATAAGCCTGATGCTGATAAGAGGCAGAAAAGGAATGTGTAAGTTGCTAACTCCAAAGTGGGGGAGGCAGTGAGATATTCCTGTCAGAGTGAAAGTGATTTTCAATTTCAAATAATTATATTAGGTCATTCATTGTTTGGAATGGAGTGTCTGTAGTACACGGCATTCCTGCTGAGAGGGTTCTCAAAGGCTGAGGGTTAGGAGGCAGAAAGCCTGTAATTAGAAGCCCTGAAGCACCCACCCTCTCTGATGAAGAGGATTGGAGTACAGCCTGTCCAGGTAATAGGGCTCAGCTCAGGAGTGTGTATAGGGGTGTGTGTGTGTGTGTGTGTGTGTGTGTGTCCCCATTCCAATTTCCCAACATGAACATCTAATTATGCCAAATCTTATAAGCTTCAGGGGAGTGGGAAAATGAGAATTAAAAGCAAACAGTGATTTAGAGAAAAAAGGTATTTGAACCCATTTCCAAAAGAAGCTTCCGTTTAATACAGGGGTAAAAGAGTGGCTTATCCTTTGAAGCAGCCAGCAAAATTCCTAACCACTCTTGGATTCTGAGCTACACAACTTGCTAGTTTCATTTGCACTCATGATAGATTTTCTTAGAAGCCCTCTCAAGACTATGGGTAAATGCAACTGGGGACAAGAAAATGAGGGCTTGGTGGTGATGTCACCATTCTTTTGTCTGTCTCCACTCATATAGATGAAAATGGGCCTCCTTTGAGCAAATCTAGCTTTTCTTGGGGCCCTGATCCTATGAATTACTTACTTCGGGAAGGGCCTGTGAAAACTGAAATTTGCATCTGCCTACAGAGGGAAGTTTAGGAAATCTAACTTAATTCATTCCACAGCCACTCTTGACATGACATATGAACCTTCAACCAGATGCATGTGTTATGCCTTGGTTTAATTATGAGATGAATTAATAGGTTTTGTGTAATATCCTGATTAACTTATGTCTCCTGTTCACAGATGGTAAACGTAAAATTTCTCCAGGAGAGGGAATTATATCCTCCTGCAACTTGAGGTTTTTGCTGATCTGTTCAGCGTGGTAATACATCTAAGGGATGTTTAGTCCCCACTTCAAACATAAATAGCTATTCCTGATACTCAGATGAAAAAGAAAAAAAGATGCCTTAATTATAACTTCACTCAACTGCATTAATACCATTCTATTTAAAATAACAATACTGAGTTGTTGGTTTTTTTTTTTGAGCCCCTGAAGATGGATGGAAAAATTAAGTCTGATTTAATCTATCAGCTATGCACGGTATAACAATATTAAGTCATACATTTGGAGTGTAAGTAGCTAGAGGTAGTTTCTACATCAAACTCACTTGGCCACCCAGAACTTATATTCTCTGTGGTAGGTATGAGCCTTGTCCTACATTTTGGTCATGTTCATTTATTTTTTAAGTGTAAACAGTATTGCCCTAACATTAAACAGAATGAATTCAGTTTGGCTTTGAAAAAAAAATTTTTTTAATATAACATCCCGTCTCCTTTATTCAGTCAACACATTTTTTAAAGCACTTCATATGTGCTGCATTGTTCTAGACAATGGAGATGTAACAGTGAACAGACACGGTGATGAGATACCTGTGCCTGACCAGAATCCTGACATCAATGTCGCAAGTGTATATAGAGTGCACTATAATTATCAGCCCTAATAACAGCGGTGCAAGGGGACATATTAAGACAAATGAATAAATAAGAGTCCAAAAGTTTTTCCCTGGTTTTAGGATATGCTATATATTTTTTCCATGGACTTTCTATTTGTTTTTTAATGTGAGTAAGGTTACAAATGGACAGCAATGAACTATGTTTAGACCTTGGACTCTGCAGTCTGTCTGTCCTGAGTGGGTATCCCCATGATCCATACTCACTTGGGCTAATTCTCAGTTTCGCTAATTCTCATTATCTCTATTACAAAATACAAATGAAGAAACTGAGAATACTTTCCTCGAGGTAATGTTATAAAATTAAATGAGACAATATAGGCAAATCATTTGGACTACAGTAGTGTTGCTCACCCTTTTCTTCGTTATTGCTCTAAGCAATGAGCTTTTTTAGATTTTTTTCTCCTAATCAACCCCTGCTTTCCAGTGAAATTGTAATACCACAGATATACTGTATATCTGTTTAGGTATTGTAGGTAGATCTGTACTTTCTACATAAAAAGGGTAAGTTTTGTTTCACTCCCCAAGAACCAGTATTCACCTCCCTTAGGAGAGACATCACTTCCCTTTGAGAAGGCATGGTCAAGAGTCACTTTGGCACTATGTGATATAGAGTCATGCAGTGCTTGCTAAATATTAGCAAATATAACAGTAATAATCATCAAAATAAACATATGATTCTATATCCCTAGACTAGAGAAGATTTGAGTAAAGTCTGACAAAAGATGACAAGAGGCACATCAGCTCTGACACCCAGGAAACCAAAGCCTGAATCCAACAATAAAAAGTCTGTTGGAGGCTGGGGTTGAGCATAAACCAAGAAGACCTTCTTACTTTCTTACCGATGGGAAAAAGAGAGACGCAAAGCATCAGGGCAGCTGGACAAGGGTGATCACCTCTCTTAATGAGTCAGCTAAGATTACCCATCATTTACACATGCAAAGAAGAAGCAACACAACACCAAAGTGCTCCAGAATAGATACTTTTAGGCACAGTTCATTTTGCCTGAAAAATCCTCTTTCTACCCTTCTGTCCATCCAAGTCTCATACCTACATCAAACCCACCAAAGGTCCCACTTCCTTCATGAAATCTTTCTAGCACAAAGAACCCTCAGTCATCAGACAACCCTGATTTAAACTGAAGGGCATTCTATGGAATAACTAACCAGAACATTTCTTCAAAAGTGTCAACATCATGAAAGAAAAGGCAAGACTAAGGAACTGTCTCCATTGGAGACATGACAAAGATATGCAATGTGAGACACTGGTTTGGATCCTGCAACACAAAAAGGACATTAGTGGAGGGGAAAATGGTGAACTCCAAATAGTCATGGTTTAGGTAATAGTACTGTACATGTTAATAGTACATGGATTAGTTAATAGCCAATGTTAATTTCCTGATTTTGATCATGATACCATGGTTATGTAAGATGTCAACATTAGGGAAAGCTGAGAGGAGAATAAATGGGAACACGCCATACAATTTTTGTAACTTTTCTCTAAGTCTAAATTATTTCGAAATTAAAAGGTTTTTTTAAATGGTGATTTACTCATTCAATTTTTTCAACAAAAGTATTTTAAAGGCCCACCCATGCTAGGCCCTTCCAGAGGCTGGGGAATCAGCTATGAACAAAACAAGACAATAATCCCTAATATCATGGTTAACATAGTATTTTCCGGATTCCTTTCTGCCTCAGAATAGCTATGAGGCCATGCTTTATAAGTCTTATCCTGTCCACTACTGCCATGTCAAATTCATCTGCTCTTGTCATATCTCCTCACATTAGGGACAGGATATGGCTCCTGTTCTCTGCCTTTTGCTCATGGGAGTGGATGGGGAGGTGAGCTCCTATGTCCAATGCCTGGTACGTAGCACATGCCTAGAACACTGCTTGAACACAGTAGATCTTTGATAGGTGAGAGGTGGTGCCATTTAAAAAAATATGAACACCCAGCCTGGTATGGTGGCTCATGCCTGTAATCTCAGCAATTTGCAAGGCCAAGGCTGGAGGAACACTTGAGCCAAGGTCAAGACCAGGCTGGGCAACAAGGTGAGACCCCGTCTCTACAAAAAAATAAAAGAAAATTGCCAGGCATAGTGATGCGTGCCTGTGGTCCCAGCTACTTGTGAGGCTGAGGCAGGAGAATCGCTTGAGCCCAGAGGTTGAGGCTACAGTGAGCCATGTTCATGCCACTGCACACCAGCCTGAGAGAGCAAGACCCTGTCTCAAAACAAAACAAACAAACAAAAAACCAAACACGCTTGATACAGAGCCTGATGGAAACTAGGCATTCACTTAACATGTTTCTTGCCTAGAATGTAAGAATGATCAGCTGTTGGTCTCTGCGGACTCTCAAATGTTATAATTTTATGACACGTTATGCTTGATTCTTTGACAAATAAGAATGTATGTGTGTTTCTGTGATAGGGAGAGATTGTATGAGAGAGAGTTAGTGAATTAGTGTGGAAGTAGCGGAACAGAGAAATAGAGACCTGAACTAGTACATCCCAATGGACCTTAACACTTCAAAACATAAGCTGGTACTTAAAAGATTGCATCTTCTCACTTTGAAAGACAAGAATGATCATCAAAAAAGAAACACCAAGAAATCTCTGATGTACTTTTCCAGACATTAGCTACTTACACAAATTAAAATTAAAAACCAAATTTGTCATATGGCTTTAAAAATGCAACATGCTTTTGTCGCTTAGACTAGAATTACATTTTTCTTGGAAACACCTCCCTGCTGGTCCCCATGCCCTGAACCACCTGAGACATTTACTCACTACATATAGTGATGTCTCTAATTTCAAGATCAGTTCTGTAATGTATTTCATAAGCCTGGTCCGCTTTCAGAGTTCTCATTATCAGTGAATGTCATTTGCATCCATCTCATTATAAAAGCTAAAGCCTGAGAATTCATCCTGGACAACCCTCTTCACTTTGTCTTTAAATTCTGACAATTTTCCTCCTAAATATATTTCATGCATTCACTACAATTTCTCCTGCCAATATTCTCATCCACCATGATCTTTTGCCTAGACTACTATAATAGCTTTCAAGCTGGCTTTCCTACCTATAATCCACGCTGTTACAGAAGGCAGAGAGATCTTTTTAAAAAGTAAAAACCAACACAAAGTAAATCTGACTATGTCATTCCAACAGCTTGAGTCTCCAAAGAACAAGATCCTTAATATGACCTAAAAGGACATGTCTTTTTATGGTCTGGTGTCTTGCCAACTGCTGCAGCATCATCTCTCAGTATATGATTCCAGACTTGTTCTGCTCAATCCGTACTGGCCTTCGTTCACTGTTTCAGAACATTCCATGCTCTGACCACCTGGGAAAGGCTCTCTACCAAAGTACCCTTCCTTCCACCTATTTATTCTTTGTGTGTCAACTTGAACAGCAACTTATCAGAAGAACTTTCCAACAAATCCCCAGACTCGGTATGTTGTTGACCTCCAAGATGGCCATTAATGAGCCCCATTTCCTGGTATTCAGACTCTTGTGTATTGTCTTCCCACAGCGCACAAAACTGGTCTGGATGACTAATAGAATATAGGAGAAGTGACAGTATGCCACCCCTAAGATTAGGTTATAAGACACTGTCCCTTCCACCTTGGTTCTGTGCATTCTCTCTGTCTTCCTCTTGGAGTATTCACTTTAGGCGAAGCCTGCTACCACGTGGTAAGAGCCACACATAGTGAGGAACTAAAGCCTCCTGTCAACAGCCATGTAAGTGATAATCAAAGTCCATCCTTCAGCCCCAGCCATGCTTTCAGATGACTGTATCCCTGCCTGACAGCCAGCTGTATCCTCATGAGAGTTCTTGAGCCAAGACCACCCAGCTATACCACCCCTGGATTCCTGACCCTCAGAAACTGTGTGAGATCATTAAATATATCGTTTTAGCTTTCTCAGTAAGCAATTACCTTAAAACTTAGCAATAGATAATGAATATGCTTGGTTAGATGCCTCTGTCATATCCTCTTGTGGAATCTTGCTCCTTTTGCATATCTCACTTGGTAATTACGTATTTGTTTAACGAAATCGATCAGTGCCAGTCTCCTCATCAGTTTTGTCTCCTAATCTTACCACAGTATTTCCAGAACTCTGTGACAGGCCTCAAAAACATTAGGTGGGTGAATTAATTGTCCTAGCAATACAACTGGAAGACTTCCCTTCAATCACTGAATTGCTCTGATAAATTTGCTTTTGGTAGGGAGTTAACATGTAACGTGAGCCCTAAAATCAATCAGTAATTAATAGAAGATAACCATGTAGAGAGGTCCCCCAACCATGGCCTCATCCACCATCAGTTTCAATCTGCAGTATGCCTTCAATAGGGAGATAAACTGCCTTCTACCCACGAGTCAATTAATAACAATAAAATAGGATCTGATCCAGGTCTGTCCGGACTGCAGTCTCTCTACTGTCACTGTCTTACAGATCTATGAGTCCAGGGCACCAATAGGCTTTCTCACCCTTGAAGGATAATTATCATCATTCTCATGTTAAGTACAATGTCCTGCTTATTAATAGACGTAGAGGCTATCAATACCCAATCAGGAGTCCAAGTGCCCCCATCTGTTTCTAAACGTTTCCATTTTTAATTGGTTGATTTTTATTTTTCATGGATGACAGACACTTTATTGGCCTCCTCTCTGGAATACTATGACTATTGGTTGCAAGTGGAAAGAATTACTAAGCAAAATACAGCCAGTAGTATCACGAAGAGAGCAGACAGGCCATCAGCACACAATGTTTAATCAAAGCTGATGATAGCTGAGGCAAGAGGATCACTTGAGACTATGAACTTGAGACCAGCCTGGGCAACATAGCATGACCCTGTCTCTTTATTAGAAAAAAACAAAAACAAAAAAACAGCTGACATTAGATCCTGTTATCTTCTTACATCATTCTCTCTCATTCGTTTCCTCAAATTCAGTTATTATGGTACAGAAAAGCTAAGTTTCACTTCCACGAAACCCATGAGTTTTAGCCAACACTTCCAATGGGTTGGCTGATTTTCAAATGGGGTGCATGCTAAAAACAAACAAACACACAAAAAAAACCCTGCAGATTTGGGACCCCATCCTGATCTACCGAATCAGAATTTCCAGAGGACGAGCCTGGCAATCTACAATTTTAACCACCAACTCAGAAAATAGATTATATTACCAGACATAAAAGCTCATATGTCACCTAAAACCCCTTCCATTATAATAAGCTACAAATCCAAATATTTGTTCTAAGTCATATGACAGAAAACTGAGGAAAACAATGAATCTTCTAAAGCAAAAAACTTAAGTAACTTCATTCTCAAGTACTACTCCTCTGCTAGATTAGGCTTCTCACAAAGGAACTAAAGGGCCAAATTATACATAGTGCACACGTCACAGCTCAAGTCCTTTTCACAATAGGTGAAGTTTAAAAAAAAGTCTTACAACAACAAAGAAGACAAAAGAATTCTTCTTGGAGTCCATTTTCCTCAGTGAACTCACAAATAAAAAACTGACTTTAGTATCTCTTTAAGAATATCCCTTTCAGAAGCTGAGCATCTAAGGAAAATTAGCAGAAATGTTATTTTCTCATGTCAGTTATTCATTACATTAAATAACATTATGTTCCAAATTAGAGGATTAAATAATCCTAACAGTTTTCTTAGCCAGTCTTTCTCATCCTTCATGGGTCATGAAGAAGAAGGAGGTTTTGACCACAACTCTCAAGCTACTTTTAAATCAATCTATCTGAAAATTTCAGGGATACTTCCACCTGATTGAATGAGTCCATAATATTTTCAGTTTCCAAAATACTAATCATAACTTGAAAATATTTATCTACATATTACTTTAAATTTTTTAATTTAATTCTACTTGTTTTTCTTTGCCCTCTGTTGAAATAGATTTCTCTCTAATATTCTAACATTCATACAGTGCTTACTGTGTGCCAGGGGCTACACTATGTGATTTCATCCACTACTTCTTTTAATCAGTCCACACTCCTACAAGGTAGGGATCGTTATTCCCTTTTTATAGATCAGAAAGTGGAAGCCCAGAAAGGCTACAAAACTTGTCTAACTTCTCTTGGCTCATGGGTGACAAACCAGGATTTAAAACACATCTTGGCCTGGCATGGTGGCTCACGCCTGTAATACCAGCACTACGGGAGGCCAGCAGGAGGATCCCTTGAGCTGAAGACTTCGACACCAGCCTGGGCAACATAGTAAGACCCTATGTGTATAAAATATACAAAAAGCTAGCCGGGTATGGTGGCATGCAACTGTAGTCCCAGCTACTCGAGAGGCTGAGGTGGGAGGATCATCTGAGCCCGGCAAGTCGTGGCTACAATGAGCCAAGATTGCACCACTACACTCCAGCCTGGGCGAGAGAGTGAGACCCTGTCTCGAAAAACAAACAAATGAAAACACACATCTGACTTCAAAGCTTGTCTGTTTAGCAAAATACAAAACTCCATATATATAGGATAAAATATTTAATATCTTCCCACTGTGAAATTAATAATACTATTTTAAGAGAAATATATAGGGGATTCCCTGGTACATATCAGTGTTGATTTTCTATCACTTTAGTGAAAGTATCACATTACTGCCGCTAAATCAGCCTGTTTTGAATTAAAAGCGTCCATTATGATGGTGCACTGAAAAATGTACGCCTCTTAACTGGATTGTTTGTAATACAAAGGATAAACGCTTGAGGGGATGGATACTGATTTTCCATGATGTGATTATGATGCATTGCATTTCTGTGTACCCCATAAATACATATACCTACTATGGACCCACGAAAATTTAAAATAAAATTTTTAGGGAATTTTTTAAATGTACTCATCATCTTTTCTATCCTTTAATAAGGAGAAACTATAACTGCTAGAACAAATTCTAAAGATAGTTCTAGATTCTAAAGGAGCCGGTCATCTGCAATTAATTTAATGAAACTGGAGGAAATGTAAACTGTTTCCTGCTACTCCCACTCCTCTCCCCCTCCAGATAGGAAAAGAGGGACATAGGAAAGAAACAGCTCTGCAAAGGACAAAGAAAAGCCACCAAGTGAAACCCATCTGGTACAAAGTCACAATGATGAGGCAGGCCAATGTGGGTGGGTTTTCTACTATGGTGCCCACTAAAAACAACAAAAGACATGTGGCAAAATCTCCAAACACTAGGGAAGTCTGGGAGGAAGACTGCTCAGTGATTAGTCCAGATGGGAACTACTACATTCGCTAATATGAGCATCAGAGAAAGTGATTCATAAATTTTTGCATCAGCACAAACGAAGCCCACTTTTTAAAAATGGTTACGCCAGTAGATCTTTCCTTCAGTAATTCTTAGGGATACAAAACTATCAGTATGGCAGATATACAGGGAATAAATAAAAACAAGCTGTCCAAGGCACTTAGACAGCGTTAGACCTGGTACTTTCCCTGTTTCTCTAATGGACTCTGTACCTGAGGTTTTTGTCAAGACTTTGTACCTCCAGGTAGAAAAAGCTTTTATAGATCTTCAAACACTGCTAGGAAAACTTGGAAATGTGACAGCTATCTTCTTTTTCTATCAATAAATCTTCCCTATTTGGCAGAGCTATGAGTTATTCATAGCAGAAAGCTCATTTTATTAAAGTATTTTGAGAGCTTTTGTTTCCCCCGTATTGTTGTATTTTCTCCCTCACCCTTAACAACAGGACACCCAATCTATGGCTGGGGCAAATGGTACTAAGAACTCTAACAGGACTAAGGAGGGGATTATTTGCAAAGGCTTGAGCCTTAAGGAACGAAACCCACCACTCAGAAAAATCTAAACACAAGAAGCAAAATTCAAGGAGGTGCTTAACTTGAACTCAAAGGATCCTGAAGTGTTCAGGAACAAGCTTAGGGGGTCTATGAACACCCTGAAAATACAAGAGACATGAGACAGATTAAGTATGAAGTTCTGGTTTCTTCTAGAAAAGACTCAGAATCTTGAGATGCACAAGCTGAAAAGGAGTTTTAGAAATAATTTACATCAACTCTCGTTTTATACATGACAAAACTAAGACATACAGATGTGATATTTACCACCTTCACTGAAAGAAAATCAAATGAGTTTCTCACTTCTTAAATCAAGCCATTGCTTTTAAAACTTTATTAGCAAGTGGAGACAGAGTCAGTCAAACTACAGCTGGGCAGAAATACGCAACTCAACTCTAACAAACCAGTGATTCACATTAATTTAATATACAGTAACCCCCCCAATACAGTTTCACTTCCTGTGGTTTCAGATACTCTCGTTCAACCACAGTTTGACAATAGGTGCTTATGGTACAATAAGATATTTTTCAAGAGAGACCATATTCACTACATGTATTTATTCACAATAAATTTTATTACAGTATATCATTATAATTGTTCTATTTTATTAATAGTTGTTAGTCTCTTACTGTCCCTAATTTATAAATTTAACATAGGTATGTATGCATGTCACAGGTATGTATGTATGTATAGGAATAAACAGAGTATATATAGGGTTATGTACTATCTGCAGTTTCAGGCTTCCACTGGGAGTCCTGGAATGTACCCCTGTTGATAAGAAGGGGACTACTGTATTTTCTAAAAAACAAAACCATAAAACTTACCACGTTTTATCAAATCTGAGGCAACAATTATAGCTTATGAAGCAACAAGGCAGAAGAAATACTGCCAATTAAGTTACAGAATGCCACTCATTGTAGAATGCATTTTGAATTCTGAAATATTAAAATGTAGAACACTATGCATCTTAGAATTGATAAATATAGTATTGTAAAAAAGTAATGACTTATAGGACTCTTGGCTTGTTTTGTTATGCTTTGTTCTTTGTTGTGTTTTTTGTTTTTGTTTTTTAGAGACAAGCTCTATCTCTGTTTCCCAGGCTATAGTACAGTGGCAAGATCATAGCTCACTGCAGCCTTGAACTTTTCGGCTAAAGCAATCCTCCCATCTCAGCCTTCTGGGGAGGTGGGATTACAAGTGCAAGCCAATTTGCCAAACTGATTTATGACTCTTGAAAGAACACAATATGGTAAACTTCCTTTTGTAATAATTAACAGGTAAGAAAGAACTTGTGGGACATCTCATAAATTAAAAGCCCTTGTTCCAACACAAAAATGAGACCAGTAAACGATGAGTTAATTCTTGCACAAAGCAAGAAATCATATAAAATTATTCATATGTATTTAAAGCATTTTATTTTAACACACACAGTGTTCATTCTTGCATCCATCTTTTAAAGTAGATTAACTTTTTTTGAACCTAGGTTCCCTGTTTGGGATCTGTAGTATCTTTCATGATATAAACCATACTTATAATTCAGTGTCTATGATTTCTAATTTGGGCTTATTTGAAACACAGTGATAATGTAAACACACTTGCAAACCAATTTGAGTGCTTTAGATTTTTTATGACTTCCCTTTATATTTTACAGTCTTTACGTACACCTAATTTAACACAATTTTTAAGCAAGAGAACTTTATTAAGTTGTCCTAATGGATTCCAATAAATTTTCAGGGAAATATCAGCTTTCCCTCCCCACTTACATTTCATTGGTTTATATAATATTTAATTAAATTATATTGTTAGAGTAACAATGATATAAGCAAGTTTGAAAACAAACAACAGACTATTGGACAGCTTGCAACTCACAGTGGGAACATCAGTATGCAACTGAACACCAGCTTTCAAGGTGACACTCAATGATTCTTGCCCCCAGGTGTTCAAGCTCCAGTGTAGTTAGTCTCCCTCCCACATGAAGAGAGCTGGCCTGATGTTGCAGAAATGATGGAATGTGATTCCTGAAGTGAGGTCATAAAAGACATTAAAACTTCCAACTTGCTCTGTCTTTGGTCTTTTGTTCTAGGGATGCTGCCTGCCATGCCATGAGATCCCTCAAACAACCCTAGGGAGAAGTCCACATAGCTTCCTGCCAAAACCCAGTGTGAACTGACCTGACATGTGAGTGAGACACCTTGAGAGTGGACCAAACAGTCAAATCAGACCAACCTGGATTTGAACCCAGACTTAGCCACTTAGTAGCAGAGTAACCCTGGGTAAGGTTACTCTGCTCTCTAAGATTCAATGTTCTCTTCAGTAAAATTGGTTGATGATGGTGCTGATTCATTAGGTAGTTACTAGGAGTTGTTACAAATTCAAGACAAATATTGCTGGCAATTGATAGTTACTGACTGCTTACTTGTATGAGACCAGTATGCCAAGCCTTTATATTCATATTCATTATTATCATGGTTACAAGCCTTCACAGTCCTTCTCATTTACTGAAGTAGATAATGGTGCCTGGCACATGGGAAATACTTAATAAATGTGGCTTCCAGCAATGGCACATGTAATGACATTTAGGCTTTCATGCAACTGGAAACTGGGCTCCTAGGGAACAAGATGCATATCTCCAGAGGCTGAAAGGGCCATCGGAGCTCCTGCATTTACGCTTTCCCATTGTTTCACTCTTCTCAAAGCCGTCCTCCTGACTAGGTCAGGAAAAACCAACTGGAACGGAGTGCAGGGCTGGCAAATGACCTCATGAAGCCTGGACCAGCTCCCCTGCCTTAGACAAGGCTACGAAAATGGATAACAAATCTTCTAAGAAAAAAAAAAAGGCAGAACAAATCTATTTTCAAGATTCTTTCCTTCCTTTTACAATTACAATGTGCTGCATGAATGTCCTGATTTTAATAATTCCACTGCCATCTTCTGCCCCTGTTTTTGGCCTTCTTCCATATCTAATTCTGATTTTTCTTGTTTGCTGAATAGATCTAGCCAAGGCAAAGAGACAATGAGATGGCATAAGAATGAATGAGATTTTAAAAAGAGATGGCTTATAAATAACTCCCAGCAGAAATCTTGAAATAACTATGGACAAAGAATTGTCATCCAATTTACAATAGTAACAACATGAAGACCAAAAATAAATAAATAAATAAGTAAAAATAGTAGGCCATGCAGTGGCTAGTCCTGAATCCCCTGGGAAATTAAACATAGACACAGCCTCGTCTCATGTTCAATAGCAACGGAAAGATTTATTTGTGTGCATTCCGATGTCCTAACAGTACTCTAACCTGCAGCTAGGGTCTTTAGCAGAGGGATTAGTTGTCAAAAGTGCTCTTAAATGATATCACAATTTTTTTCTCATCATTAAATGCCTGTGTGAGAATAAGTTTACTGGCCCCATACTGCCAACCAGCTCATCAATGGCAGAAACACAATATGCTTCCAAAGCCTGTAGACCAAGTGAGGTGACAACTTAGAGATGAGCCAGTGGGGGCTCCATCTCCTGAATACTCTTACCCAGAGGACCTAAAAACAATCGACCTTCAGTCAAGGCCAGCTGAACTGCTGAGATACTGTGACGATTATTTCATTCTTTCCAAACCTAGATAACACGAATAGGCTCCAAAACAAGCCTGCAAGCACATCAGCATACACACGGGTGCACACACATATATACGGGCACAAACAATTCATTAAAGGTGAAACACATCTCTAGTGACAGCTGAGCAAGAGAAAAAAGGTGCATGATTTAAGACATCTTTTTCCATTCCCTTTTCTTCAGTATCTGATGCTGTAGCTTATGTCAGGTGCAGGCTAACTCCAATAGAAAATAATTATTTTTATCAATAGTCTATCATATTCCTTAATGTTAATCCACAATATATAGCCAAACCTAGTATGTCAATACTAATTAGAAATACATAGGACCATTCATGGCCAGAAAATATTTCAAGACAGTAGTAGTTAAGAAAATCAAAAGCAAAACAAAAAACAAAACTCAGTGGTCATTTGTGTTCACGGTTGTTAAAGTCAGTGTTTTGAGTGACTTCACTTCTCAGATCCTCAACTTCTCCAGTATGACAGTGTGGCTCAGTTTGGACAACACTACTCTCATTAAGAAACATTGCTTATGGTCGGGCACGGTGACTCATGACTGTAATCCCAGCACTTTGGGAGGCTGAGGCAGGCAGATCACTTGAGGTTAGGAGTTCAAGACCAGCCTGGTCAACATGGTGAAACCCTGTCTCTACTAAAAATACAAAAATTAGCCGGGTGTGGTGGTGCACACCTATAATCCCAGCTACTCTGGAGGCTGAGGCAGGAGAATTGCTTGAACCCAGGAGGCAGAGGCTGCAGTGAGCCACGATCGCATCACTGCACTCCAGACTGGGCGACAGGGCGAGACTCCGTGTCAAAAAAAAAAAAAAAAAAGAAACATTGCTATCACACAACGGACAGTGGATTTGGAGGAAGTCCTTACCACATGATGCAACAGTAATATTTACAGGCAGAGAAAAACGTCATAATATTTTAAGTTTGTGGTGGCTCACGCCTATAATCCCAGCACTTTGGGAGGCTGAGGCGGGCGGATCACAAGGTCAGGAGTTCGAGACCAGCCTGGCCAATATGGTGAAACCCCATCTCTACTAAAAATATGAAAATTAGCTGGGCATGGTGGCAGGCACCTGTAGTCCCAGCTACTCGGGAGGCTGAGGCAGAAGAATCGCTTGAACCCAGGAGGTGGAGGCTGCAGTGAGCTGAGACTGCACCACTGCACTCCAGCCTGGGCAACAGAGCAAGACTCTGTCTCAAAAAAAAATAAAAAATAAAAATAAGGACATAAAGCAAGTTTGGTTAATATAGGCACATGTCACTTATCTACATATATTATCTATGTACTCAGAAAGGCATGAAGGCTGTTAACATCAGAACATTAACAGGGACTGAGTAGTAAGATTCAGGGTGATTTTTATGTCTGCTGTTTTGCTCACCTTTTTTTTTTTTCCATAGTTAACACAAATGATCTCTGTGATAGTTACATGTAAATGGCAGCAAAAGCAAAAAGCATATACCTCCCACTAATAACCCAGGGAAATCTGGTTCCAAAGTTAAGGCTTTGTCTAAGGTGGCATACATACTCAGAAGTCAGTTTTCCCAAGTCCGTGTTACTGGGTTTTTGTTTGTTTGTTTGTTTGTTTGTTTTGGAATGTGGATCATATAATTGTGTCCAAGAGTTTAGTCATTCAGCAATAAATAACCCAAAAGACAATATATTTTTAAATGTATTTTTAAATGGCATTGCTTCTGAAAGCAGACAAAACTGGCAGGACCTCTGAGATGTCAGAAGAGGCCCAGGACACTCATAATTTTTGAGACCTCTCCTGACCCGGTGATCCACCCGCCTGGGCCTCCCAAAGTGCTGGGATTATAGGCATGAGCCACAGCATCCGGCCGTCTTTAGATATATTAATTAAAATCTTGTGAATGCATCTACATGGCTGTACATCGACATTGTTTGGAGATCATGATAAAAGTCTACATTTGAGGCCATTCCTGCTCCCTGCTCCCTCCACAGGGAGGGAGCTGACTTGTAAAAAGTATGAAAAGGAATGACATACAGACACTTTTAAGTGGCATTGCTTCTGAAAGCAGACAAAACTGGCAGGACCTCTGAGATGTCAGAAGAGGCCCAGGACACTCATAATGTTAAGACCTCTAGTATGAGATAGCTAAATGTGGTTTTAAAAGATGAGCTTTTTTTAGATATATTAATTAAAATCTTGTGAATGTATCCACATGGCTGTACATCAACTTTTGTTTGGAGATAATGACAAAAGTCTACATTTGAGGCCATTCCTGCTTCCTGCTCCCTCCACACTCACGCTGACTGTGTAAAAAGTATGAAAAGGAATGACCCCCACTGACCATGAAAAAAAAAATTACACAGGCAAGGCTGATGGATAAAGACCAGAAAATAGCTCTAACAGAAGGACAACTACTAAAATTTAAAAATAAAAAAAGTCCTACTACGGAAAGCATTGATGGAAAGCCCTGTAATTGTATCCCAAATCATTTCATCACATCTAACCAAAGAAGAAAGAGGAAAAGGATGGCTGGGCACAGTGGCTCACACCAGTAATCTCAGCATTTTGGGAAGCTGAGGCTGGTGGATCACTTGAGGTCAGGAGTTCAAGACCAGCCTGGCCAACATGCGAAACCCCACCTCTACTAAAAATACAAAAATTAGCTGGGCGTGGCAGCACACACTTGTAATCCTAGCTACTTGGGAGGCTGAGGAAGGTGAATCACTTGAACCTGGGAGGTAGAGGTTGCAGTGAGCCATGATCATGCCACTGCACTCCAGCCTGGGTGACACATGGAGACTCTTTCTCCAAAAACAAAAACAACAAAAAAAAGGGAAGCTCATGCAATCTTCATACGTTGCTGTAACGTATCCCACTGGCATGTTATGTGATATTTATATTTAATTTAGGCTGAACATGACTCTAGCAAATCTCTTTGGTAGTTAAATGTTTCCTTCAAAGGGATATCAGGATATAAATCCTGAGGTCAGAATCCATGTCAATTCCAACACAGAAACCTTTCAAAGCACAGTCCTAAGGGAATCTATTTACCGGGTAAAGGACACAACCAGAGGCACTTAACGTGGAAGACTGGTGAAGGGCCAAACTCCCACCCAAAGACCAACTCATCATTCATTCTTCACACATCTGGGTAAGGAGCAGGCAAGGCACTTGTTGATAGTGAAGCAGGAATTGTTTCCCCATATCATTTCCCTCTCGTTTCCCCAGTTCATATCCCAAGCTTCATGGCAATAAAAATAAAATATTTTTTGACTGGACACTTTTTTTTTTCTTTTTGGTTGTGCACAGGAGCTAGAAAGCCCTTGTTATATCCATGCAGGCAATATAGGTGATTCCTTGTTATGGTTGATCAGGTAAAACCTTAACCATCATCAAATCAGGGCACATAATAGTGTCAACTTGGTGAAACAGTGAGTCGGGGAGTCACTGCGTATGAGCAAGGAGCTCTCACTTGATTATACTCATGCTCTGCTCAGGTTGGCTGATTTGCCAATAGATTTCATTTCTATAGCAGTGTACTGGATAATAGGGACTGCACACTCAAGTCTAAAATGTATTCATTCGTTCTACACCTGTTTAGCGCCTGCTCTGGGCAAAACCTTGTGCAGGGTGCTGTATGTTGGCTCCCAAAGGAGAAGGATTGCTGCCAAGTTTGCTCTAGGGCTTGAGCCATGTTGACTATTAAATACCAGTTCAGGGTGTTCAGTAAAGTCTCTGATAATGCTCCATAACTTTCTAATTAGTCAAGCCTTTAAATAGAAAGAGGTCTGTCATTTTATTGTGATTTCCAGGGTTACTTTATCCTCCGCATTTCCAAAGTTTCTATGACCTATAGCAATGAGTTCATAATAATATCCACGTATAATTTTATTTTCCATATAGAGCAGTTGACATCAAATAGCAGCCCATGTGCTAAATCCAGCCAGCTGATAAATGTTTTGTTTGGCTCACACAGTACTTTAAATTCTTTTTAAAAATAACTTGCCAAGCAACCCAAGTGCCTATAGATAGATGAATAGATAAACAAAATGTGGTACATACAATTCAGCCTTAAATAAGAATGAAGTTGTGACACATGCTACAACCTGGATGAACTCTGAAGACATTATGCTAAATGAAATAATCCAGACACAAAAGGAAAAATATTGCATGATTCCTCTTATAAGAAGTACCTAGAATAGTCAAATTCATGGAGACAGAAAGGAGAATTGTGGTTACCAGGGGCGAGAGGGAGGAGAATGGAGAACTGTCATTTAATGAGTACATAGTTTCAGTGTAGGATGATGAAAAAGTTCTTGAGTTGGATGTTGATGATGGTTGCACAATAGCATAATGTATTTAATGTGACTGAAATATGCACTTAAAATGGTTAAAATGGTAAATTTTTGTTATGTATATTTTACCACTATAAAAAAGATTGAAAAAACCTTCTCCACTTATACAAATGAATATGTGTGCACTGTGGAAATCAAAACTGTAGGTAAGTTTAAAGTATATAAATCCTTCCACAATTTTAAAGGATCCTTTAAGATTTAAATGTTTAAGACGGCAGGCACGGTGGCTTGTGCATGTAATCCCAGCACTTTGAGAGGCCAAGGTGGGAGGACTGCTTGAGCCCAGAAGTTGGAGACCAGCCTGGGAAACATAATGAGACCCTGTCTCTAAAAACAAAAAATAAATTAGCCATGCATGATGGCATGCGCCTGTAGTCCCTTCTACTTGGGGGGCTGATGGGAAGATCTCTTGAGCCTGGGACATCAAGGCTGCAGTGAGCCATGATTGTACCACTGCGTTCCAGTCTGGGCAATACAGCGAGACCCTGTCTCAGAAAAAAAAAAAAGTTTCAAGAATATTTATCTGGTGAATTATTTTTACTGAAATACTTGAATTATTTTTACTGAAATACTTAGATGGGACAAGGCAAGGAGGACTTTGCAACATTAGAAAGATGAGAGGTAGTATACTCTCTCAACCACTAGGTGAGCTCTTTCCATTCCTACAGTGCTTCTTTCTTTCTTTATTATCATTATTATTATTATTATTATTATTATTATTATTATTATTATTATTCTGAGACACAGTCTCACTCGGTTGCCAAGGCTGAAGTACAGTGGTGCGATCTTGGCTTACTGCAACCTCAGCCTCCTGGGTTCAAGAGATTCTCCTGCCTCATCCTCCAAGTGGCTGGGACTACAGACATGCACCACTATATCCAGCTAATTTTTATGTTTTTAGTAGAGACAGGGTTTCAACATGTTGGCCAGGCTGGTCTCAAACTCCTGACTTCAAGTGATCCACCAGCCTCAGCCTCCTAAAGTGCTAGGATCACAGGCATGAGCCACTACACCTGGCCTTTCTACAATACTTCATAAAAAAAAAAAAATGTTTAATCAGCTCAGATTAAAAATATAACAATGAAGAAAAATTATATATAGCTTAGAAATTAAAAGTTGCACTAAAGTATAAAGAATGTCAAATATTAGGAATGCCATTTATATTTAAGGCTTATAAATCAGATTGAACACATGGAAATGTTTAAAAATGAAATTGTATGATATCCAGGATTTGCTACAAAATAATTCGGTGGCAGGAAAATAAACCAGAATGGTGATACAGATGAAATAAGATTGGCTAAAAGTTGACCACTGTTGAAGCTACATGATGGGCATCTGGGCATCTAAGTTCATTGCACCATTCTTTTGACTTATGTGGAAAAAATCCAGATCATGTTACATATAAAAACAAAATAAGCAAGAAATAGAGACTAAACTCTTTTTCTCACTCTCCTACCCCGTTTCAGGCTGCCTGGTTGTTTGGGGGGCTCTTTCAAATACAATGGTTCAAAAGAACTGCTAGGACAAAACAAGCAAACCAAACTCAATTACCGAATAACACTCAATTTTGCCAATGGTATCTGTAGAAACGGAGGCTTACATTTTTTTGGAAAGCCTCAAAATCAGATGCACTTGCTAATTTTGTTAACTTGAAGAGAAGAAACAGAAAAGTCATCTCTTTTTCCAAAAACCTATAAACCAGTTTGCTTTTTATTGCTTTTCATTACAATTTTGAACATGAAATATTTCCAGAAAATGAAAAACCCAAATGCACCTGCCTGCATTAGGGATTAACGGCTTGGAAAATTCTATTTTAAAAATTGCAGTGAATGAAACTGAGGGTCATTTTCCTCCCTTTACTCAACTGTATACAAATTATTTTATATAAGTTTTCATCAAGGCAATACAAATATATGATACAAATTTTTCCTCAAATTTTGTGTTTCAGAAAATGTGGAAGAAATAAATGCTCTTTAAATGGTATTTTAAATGATGAATACATGTGATGAGGGCTTATCACTCAAAGAAAATGGTATAGTGTTATTTATAAAAGGATCCAAATGATCTTAAATTGAATCCCTAGCTAAAATTTCAGAAGACTAACAAGTCTTACTACTTAATGAGTTCACTAAATGTATCCTTTAAAAGCAAGTAATGATTACTAGAATATACCATAGGTTTATTCAGAAAAAGCGATAAGCAACCAACTTCTCTGAGTAATTTATTACACTTTGTTTTAGACAATAGGTCAAATAATACAGCAAAGGGCAACTAGATTTCAAAAAGACATTTGGTAGGGTTTTTCTATAAAGGAGGAGCCATGCGTAACAGGACAACTACACCCATAGGTGTAGTTGATGAATACGTTTTGAGAGATGTCACTGGCCTCTGTGTTTGATTTTGTCCCATTAATAATGTGCACATGTATTAAACAAAAACATAAATGGCATGCTGACCAAAAATAGCTATAAGACAGTACTGATCATTTGATGCACAAAATTAGGCACCAAATGAGGGCTTTAACTCATTTTTTCAGTTTTGGCAAATATACCCAACCTCATAACAGATTAAAAAACTAAAGTTCTACTCTTTGGGTGGAGATAAAAAATAAGCATATATGCACAAATTAGAAAAAAGTATACAGGAGAAAGGGACAGAAAAAGATTATCCTTTAACAGGACAATAATGTGAAAAACGAGGAAGGTAATCATCCTATTTAATTCTGACTAACAAAAATGAGGCAGAGTAGACTAGTTTACAATACTGAGCATTTATTATGTGCCAGGTACCATCCTCAATACTTTAAGAATAATATCTTATCAATATCACCCTATAGAAAGGAACTATAATTATCTCATTTTTATAAACAATTAAATTAATACTCTAAGAGATCAGAGGATGATCTAAGGTCAAATGACCTTAAATGAGGAGAGCTGAATTTGCCAAGGCTAAGAGGGCAGTAAATGTAAACACCAGGAACTAGGAACAAGCAAATGGTGTTAAAGGGAAAGAAAGCCAGCCAATGTTTCCAGAGTGCATTCTATTGCATTGCACAAAATGAGGGGAAACTGAATAACCAGCTGGGGAGTTACTACTGTCCACTCCAGGGGAAGAAAGACTGCATCACAGGGTCACAGACATCTATCCTTCAAAGTAGTTAAGCAGAGGCAAGAGGCTGCCTGTCAAACACGGAGACAGGACTCAGGCATTGAGTGCAAAGTTGAACTAGAGACCTTGAGTTTCTCTGATCCTATAAGTAGAAGCAGCCATAGTAGTGGTAGTAGAAATTACCATTTATGATATGCTGTTTTCCTTTATTATCCTTATTATCCTTATAACAATATTGTCCCATAAGTATTATTATGTTCATCTTAAACGCAGAGAAATCAAAGGCCCATAGCAGGTCCAGGATTCAAGGTCAGACCTGTCTAGTTACAAAAACCCATGCCCACTACACTACCTTTTTTCCCCAAAGCAGCAACTAGATCATAGGAACATTTGATTTGTTTCCAGAAGGGTCAAACTCTGGCCAAAGAACAGATTGTTTCTCTCCAACATTTACATTTCTCAGAGGTGTAGTCTATTCAAGAATTTTAATTTAGACTTGCACGTATTTTGACAAGTAAAAAAAATGTTATACAGATATGAAGACAAAGTTACTCATCTTATCCCTATCTGCCAATTACATTCCCCAAATAACCAGTGTTAATATTTTTGTGTTTGATATTCATTCCTTTCACAAAACTATAAACATATAGATACATATATAAGGGGTTAATTTATTTTAATCAAAATAAAAACAAACTGCACATATTATACAACTCATTTTTTCTACTTAATATTATAGACATATTTAAAATCATTAGAACAAAAAAATTGCAAACCAATATTTCACAGGAACAAAGATGCAAAAATTCTAAATAAAAATTTAACCAATCATATTCAACAATAAATAAAAAGCATAATACATCATGAGCAAATAGGGAAATAGAGTTTATCCCAGTCATGTAAGATTATTTTAACATTGGAAAATCTATTAATATAATTTATCACACTAATAAATTATATATCACACTAATAAACTACATAAAATCCACATAGTCCTCTCAGTAGACACAGAAAAAGTATTTCAGAAACTCCCACATTTATTGCTGATTTAAAAATAAAAAAAAAACTCCTGGTAATCTATAAATGGCAAAGAACTTCTTCAACCTGATGAAAAGAATTTATGAAAAACCTGCAGCTAACATCATAGTTAATGGTGAAAGAGTGAATGTTTTTTCCCTAAAATTGAGAACAAGAATATCTTCATTACCCTTTTCTGTCTAACACTTTACTAGAGGCTATAGCCAGTGCAATAAAGCAAGGAAAGGAAATAAAAAGCATTTAGAATAGAAAAGGAAGATGTAAAACTTTTATTATTTCTCAGATGGCATGGTTAGCTGTGTCAGGGTTTGGCAAAATGTGGCAGTTTTGTTATTAAGTTTCATAAGAACACAGTCACACCCATTCACTTGTGTATTATCTACAGCTGCTTTCACCCTACTAATTACTCAACTACCATGGGCAGTTGAGTAATTGCCACAGACACACACAAGCTTAAATTATTTACTATCTGGCCTTTTAAGAAAGTTTGCTGACCCCTGATCTATGTAGAAAATCTGATAAAATCTACAATAAAACTACTGGGAGTAATAAGCAAGTTTAGACACACTAAAGAATACAAGATCAATATATAAAAATCTATTATATTTCTTTCTGCTTGTAACTTGTAATCAGAAATAGAAATTTTATTTTTTATTTTTTAACTTTTATTTTAGGTTCCGGGATACATGTGCAGGTTTTTACATATATATATGTATATATATATACATACATATATGTAAACTGCTTGCCATGGGGGTTTTCTGTACAGGTAATTTCATCACCTGGGTAATAAGTACAGTACCCAATAGATATTTTCAGGAACAAAAATTTTAACACAGCATTTATGACAGCAACAAAATATATAAAATACCCAGCAGTAAATCTGACTGGAGATGTAAATGACCTGCATAGAAACTAAAAAAAAAAAAAAAAAATGTACTGAGAGAAATTTTAAAATCTACCCTATTCATGGGCAATACTTTTAAAATGTCCATTCTCCACATATTCATCTATATCTAGATATTCAACGCAATCCCAACCAAAATCCTACCATACGTTTTGTCAAAATGGACAAAGTGATTCTAAAATTTACATGGAATATTGAAGGACCTAGAATAGCAAAAACAAATTTGAAAATGAAGAATAAAGTTGGAAAACTAATAGTACCTAACTTCAAGACATTATAAATCTCCAGTAATCAAGACAGTGTTGTACTGGTGTAAAGAAAGGTGAGTATATGAGTGAAACAGAATAGAGAATCAAGAAATAAGCCCTCACATATATGGACAACTAATTACCAACAAAGATGCAAAGACAATTAAGTGGAGAAAGGAAATCTTTTCAACAAGTGACACTAAAACAATTGGACTTTCACATTTAAAAAAATTAACTTCAACTCGGAATGGATCATAGACATAAAACTAAAACCGAAAACCATAAAACTTATAGAAGAAAACTTTTGTGACTTTAGGTTAAGTAAAAACAGATATCACACCAAAACCACAATCTATTAAGGAAACAATTGGTAATTTGTATTGCTTCATAGTTAAAAATCTCTGTTCCCCAAAAGACACTGTTAAGAGGATGAAAACGTAAGGCACATATTGGGAAAAAGTATGTACAAATCACATATCTGAAAAAGGTCTTATATTCAGAATCTATAGAGTTCCAAACAAAACACCAACTAAAAAGAGAGTAAAATATTTGAATTAAACACTTTAACAAAAAAGACATATGGATGGCAAATGAGCACATGAAAAATTAGTCATTATAGAAATAAAAATTAAAACCATAATGAGGTACCAAGATATACTATTAGAAAGGTTAAAGTTAAAAAGACTGACCAAAGCAAGTATTGATGAAAATGTGGAAGAAGTGAAACTCTCCTACACTGCTGGGCAGGAATATAAAGTGATGCAATCACTCTGGGAAGGTTAAGAGATTTCTTAAAAAGAGAGATGACCATGTGACCCAGTAATTCCACCCACAGATATTTACTCAAGAGAAATGAAAGCATACATCCATATAAAGACTTACACACAAATGTTCATAGCAGCTTAATCTGTAATAGACAAACTGGAAACAAACCAAATACCTATCAATGGGTGAATAAACAAACAAAAGATGATACATCCATACCATGAGATACTACTCAGCAACAAAAATAGTGAGCTGTTGCTATATGCTACAACATGAATGGCTCTCAAAAAATTCTGCTAGTGAATGATGTATAATTCACTATTATGCTACGAATGAAGTCAGATTCCTGATGCCACAAAAAAAATACATACCACATGATTACATTCACATATAATTCTAGATAAAACAAACTTAGCACCAGATAACATGTTACTGGTTGTCTTGAAATCGGGAGATACAGGGTAGAGGAGAGTGATTATAAAGGGGCACAAGGACATTTTTGGGGGAGCTAATGTATGTTCGTTTTCTTAATTGTGGTGCTGGTTTTATGGGTATATGCACAAGTCAAGACTTATCAAATCATACATTCTAAGCATGGACAGGATATTGTATATTAATTCTACCTCAGTAAAGATGTTTTTAGAGTCATTAGATATTTGTCTAATTTTGTTTTCTAATTACTTTATGTATATATACACACAGATTTTATAAAATGTAGAGCATGCATACTTAGCATTTTTAGCGGTTTTCTGTTTGCTTCTTGTTTCTAAATATCTAATTAATCAAGTAACACGTATTAATAACCTGTTTGATAATAATTCTAACAGTGGCCCTCTGAAAATTCAGCTCAGGGTGCTAGAACAATCAATATAGTGACACCAATATCATGACATGTGTGACACATTAGCATGAAATTAGTGGTGATCCTTGTCAATCCTACGTAGACAATGCTAATCAATCCCCGCACTCTTCCTCTCTGAGCCTGAATAAAAGATTCCAGCTCTAACAGGCTGGAGCTAATACAAATGGTGAACCCGCTCTGCCATCCAGGGGTCTTGTTGATGATGCTGATGATGCCTGACTGAAGTAGGCAAATACGTTTTTATCTTCATCTTTTTGCCAGGCTGTCTCTGTGCTATCTTGTTGCTTTGCTTAAATCAAGAAAAATGGGCGTTGTACTGCTATCTGCATTTTGTCTTGCATTTAAGTAACGGTTTCCTTTAAGAGCCAATTCAGAACTCATACATTCCAGGAAGCCTCCTATTGACTAAGCTCAGGTCATAATAAACTTGACTTTTTCTGAATCCTTTCACTACTAGATTCCTTGCTACACAATACCACATTTAGGTATCTGCCACCAGGATTATTCTCTGAGCTTCACTTTTCTTACCTGTAAATTGATACTTATATTGCAGAGTTGTCTTCAGGACTAGAGATGATGTATGGTTACCCCTGGGATGTAGACTCCACAAATTCAGACATTTTGTCTAGTTTATATAACCCTAGTGCCTAGAACAGTGCCAGACACAGAGTAAGTGTTCAACAAATAGCTGTAAGTAAATATGTAAGTAGTCTTTCACATACCATGGCACATTAAGTTCGATCCACATACACACTTAATACTCTATAATAACTCAGCTACTTGAAGACAGTCACCCTAGGTGCTCTTTTTGTCCCTTGGAGTTACATTTTACTCAGGGTTTCTATAGTTAGAAGTCAAGGCAAATATCACAGGCAGAGCTGGACTAGAGTGAAACAAATGAATCATAATCCTGGAATGTAAATTTAAAGGATACGCCAAAAAAACCCTCCACATATGAAAGAAATAATATTTCATGCAATATTTTTTAAAATAAAAATAATGCAAAGAATCCATTATGAATAAAACATCAGTTTTAAACAAAGGCAAAATCAGAGCAGTGCAGGACTGAGCCATATCAAAGCCTGAGGCAAAATGAAAAATCAAACACGGCTCCTATCTTCACTTAAAATAATTTTGATTAAAAAATATTACATTAAAATATTATTTATCCTCATTACTGAGGTTTCTAGCACTCCCTTCAATTCTGTGCCGGTGGTGAGTGCCTCCTCGTGTCACCCCAATCCTGGCCCTGCACAGCTGTCAAAACAGTCCTTGAAGAATCCCTTAAACTATCCACAAAATATAATATTCTACTCTCACTAAATTCAACACCACCAGTTTGCCTTTAGTGTTAGAACAGTGCTACGTTTCTCCAGGTGAGCCCTGGATGAAGAAGATGGCTTACACTTAAGGAGCCAGGCTGTATACAAAATGTGTGTCTTTACACAGCAGACTCACACTTGGCTCATCAAGGTGCTGATGCCATGGGAGGCTTCTGGGAACTGAGAATAGTCGAACCATGTCTCTCATCTCACCCTGGCTCAGGCACAGACTCTAAGGCAGGCAGAATCAACCACATTCTTTTATTTGCCTTTATTCGCTCCTGTTTGTGGTCTGTCTCTGTCTCTCTTTCTCTCTCTCACACACTCTCACACACGACTTGTGTAACTTGAATGAATAAATAATGTGATTCTACTGGAAATGCAATGCTGTCCGCCCCTTGGCCTTCTACCCAGCATGCCTGCTTGTTGAGCGACTGACGGGTTCTGCCTCCATCCTCAGGAGCCTCAGCTCCCACAAATCACTAGTGATTTCCTCCAGCCGCCAAGACAAAGGCGACTCTGGCAACCAGGCTATGTATTCCTTTTGCTTTCCCTAAGCACCCATACCATGTTGCTTCCCATAAATTCACAGTTTTATCCTGAGATGAAATCGCACCATTTCTGCCAGGAATCACACACAGAAACATGGTTCTGTTTTGTTTCTGGACATACTGTATTTGATAAAATTAGAAAGAAATCACCCTACCAACATTTGCACACAAGAAGAAAGGGAAAAAAAAGAGGAGGGTGAAAAATCAACCAGCTATGAGATCCAGTATAGAGAAGATATCAGAAAAACATTTTTTGCAGGTTCCAAATCTTGAAGTATAAAATTATCCTCTCCTATTCTTCTTTGTTCCCACTTGTGGCATCTAGCCAATCACTAACAAATATAAGAGCTGGATGCCAACTTCAGTAAACATATTTAACCCTACAAGGAGAGACAGTCATGGGGGAAAATGAAATCTTCATGGGTCCAAGTCTCTCAATGAGAACAGATATTCAGGCCGGATGCCATGGCTCACGCCTGTAATCCTAACACTTTGGGACGCCGAGGTGGGTGGATCACTTGAGGTCAGGAGTTCAAGACCAGCCTGGCCAATATGGTGAAACCCCATCTCTACTAAAAATACAAGAAACTAGCGGGGCGTGGTGGCACATCCCTGTACCCCCAGCTACTTGGGAGGCTGAGGCACGACAATCACTTGAGCCTGGGAGATGGAGATTGCCACAAGGTGAGATCGCGCCACTACAATCCAGCCTGGGTGACAGAGTAACACTCTGTCTCCAAAGAGAGAGAGAGAGAGAGAGAGACAGAGAGAGAGAGAGAGAACGAACAGATATTCCCTGCAAGCTCTCCTAAAGCGATGCATTTTTTTGCGGGGGAGGGGTGGGGGTCACTAATACAAAACATAGACTTGGCACTGAGCCTCCCAAAGCAGAAAGAAGATTGGATAATTACATTCATACACATATCCATTGTGTATGAATCACATTGTCCAGCCCCACCACTGTGCAAATCCTGGAGTCAGAACATCTCAGATTCTACCAGCTCATCCCAAGTATTTTCCAGATAAGGTAACAGAGGCTTAGCAAGACCAGGTGACTTGTCTTACCCAGGTCATGATGGCAGCAGGTGCAACCATCTACCCAAGCTTCTGCCAAAAAACTAGGATGCTTTCTGCTGCTCTGTGGTGGGACCATTTGATCCCAGGACTGCCACATATTTGGGCCTTATACAGTTCCTTTCTGTGGTTAAGTGAAGTGATTACCCATGCCCTATGACTACCAGATACACCACACTACACAAGTGACTTCCAAAATGCAGCCAGGAGTCCCCACAGTCACAAATGTCTGTTCTTAGACCCTCTGAGACAACTGTAACAGGGATAAACACGAATGGAGAATGATCCATAAAGAACTCTCTCACTGGCCGGACTCAGTGGCTCACGCCTGTAATCCCAGCACTTTGGGAGGCCAAGGCGGGTAGGTCACCTTAGGTCAGCAGTTCGAGACCAGCCTGGCCAACATAGTGAAACCCTGTCTCTACTAAAAATGCAAAAAAGTAGCCGGGAGTGGTGACAGGAGCCTGTAATCCCAGCTACTCGGGAGGCTGAGGCAGGAGAATCACCTGAAACTGGGAGGTGGAGGTTGCAGTAGGCGAAGATCACGCCACTGCACTCTGGCCTGGGGAACAAGAGCGAAACTCCATCTCAAAAAAAAAAAAAAACTCGCTCAGTATCATTGGGACATTAAAAAAGCCAATGAAACTAGACAAGCTCACTGGCACTCTTTTTTCATTAATTACTGTATCTTTTTTCTGATTAAAAAATTATAACAATTTCACATGATCTTATGAAACTATTAGCTCTCTGAGGGCAAAGACTTTTTCTGCCTCGTTCACTGGTCTATCCCAAGTCCAGGACTTAACTCCATATTAAATAAACATTTCCTGAACAAGTTTTAAAAAGAAAAATGTATCTGTTCATTGAGAAAGTCCTGAAAACATAGGAAAAAAATTTAAAATGAAGCAAACTCTCCCATCAATTAGCAACACAGAGATAACAACTGTTAGCACTTTCCAGAATGTATTCTGTACATGTACATACAAGTTTTCAATCTAATTTGAGATGAGACTATATAAATAATTTTGTATCCCATTTGGTTTGTCTTTTCTTTTTTCTCCTTTTTTTTTTCTTGGCCAAGTAATCTCGCATCTTGCTTTTAATTTTAACCTTCTCTTCAGTTCTCTCTTCTTCAATTCAAGTGCAATGACAGCTACAGACATCAGAAGTGAGCAAATCGATACACAGTGACCCAAAGTCAAACACCAAAAGTTCTTCCTGGAGTCAAACAACTTTTGCAGAATAAAAAGAATCCTCTGAACCAGTTCTTCCTTACTCCTAACACAGGTTATTTTTTTCAATTAACAAGTCACGCAAACACCAGGACAATTAGAGCTGTACTGAACTTTGTGGTATTTTCTGCACATAAAGTAAATATATCTTTCTACCAAAGCATGAATAAAGAAGTGAAGGACAATAAAAAAAAATATGTGGCAGATACCAATCTTGGGCTATCAGATTACTCAAGCACCTCTGAATGCTTAAGACTGACAAGTCGCTTCTATAAGAATCACAGATTTTTTTGTCAGTTGTTTCTCTTACAGTGTGCACACCGGTTTCCACACATTAATGTGTACATTTCAATTCAGCAGCCTTCCCTGGTGATACCTCTGCTTGCATATCTAATAGATATTTAGATTCAAAATACCCAGAGTTAAACAATTATCTTCCCCTTCAAATGGGCTCCACCTGCAAGCCTGTCCCATCTCAGTAACGGATGACTCCAGCCCTTCTCTGAGCTTAGGGCAAAAGTCAGGATATTAATATCATCCTTTTCTCCTGTCTTATTCTCATACCACCCATCAAAAATATCTACACACCCTGTGCCAGCTCCCATCACCACTCACCTTGATAGCTGTGCAAGCCTCATAACTGGTCTTCTGCATCCAAGTTTGACTCCCTACAGTCTGAGAGGCACACTCTATATCCAAAGAGCATCCAGAATCATTCTTTGAAATGTTGAGTCAAAAAGGGGGCAGCACAAAGGACTTTTCTGGAATGATGTAGTGACGATATGACTTGTATATGAACCTTTACTAAAGATCACAGAAATGTACATGAATAAGAGAATTTTACTGTCCAGTAAAAAGGAAAATTACTGTACAAGAAAAAAAAAGGCAAATGAGGCCACGGAAGTTCTCTGCTCAAAAACCCAAAAACCTATATTGTACATGCTGAAGTTGCCACATGACCCGATTCTCTATTACTGCTTTAACTTCATCTTCTAGTACTTTCACTTCCTCTGCTCACTTTGTCCCAGCCACACTGTCCCTGCCCCCTTGCTGCTATTCATACAATTTAGGCATGGTCCTCCCTTAGTGACCTGGCACTGGCTGTTCCCTTTACCTGGAATCCCTCTTCCCCTGCCATTTGTGAAGTTAATACTCTCCACTCTATCTCTTGCACAAACATCACATTCCTAATTAAGCCCTACTGAAACCTGCCATTCATCTCCCATCAGCATACCCAATACCCCTTACCTTGCTCTATTTTTCCTTTTCCATTCACAGGCATTATCATTTTCAGATATACCATATAACTCACTTACTAATACTTTGCGGTCCTTATCTAACTCTCCCTTACTGACCTCCAGCTAGAATCTTAAACTCCCTGAGAACAACAATTTTCCTTCCAATCCTGAATATATTCCTGACACTTAGAAAAGTGCCAGGAACATAGTAGATGTTTGATAAATATCTTTTGAAAAAAAGTGTACACAACTGGAACCTAGTGTATGTCAGGCATTGCACTAGCCCCTGTGGTAGATTCAACATGTAAAATGACTGTTATTTTGTTAAATAAATGGGTTGGCCTACATAATCCCCCAGTCCTCTCTAGCTCATAAATGCATTCCAAGTGAGTGTTTTAGACATGATTATAGGCTGTACTTGAATGTAAGCGCCCTGAAGGCAAGGATTTTAGGCTGCTTTCCAGCTACTGCATTCCCTGCCCTAGAACAGTACATGGCATAGAGAAGCATGCAATATTTAGTGAATGAGTAAGCTCCCTGTGAACAAGGAATAAGAGTCTTGTATGTGTTATGTTTCTGATTCTACCCAGCACATAGGAAGAGCACCAGGCACGTGGGAGAGGCTCGGCCCTGGTTATGTACTCTACCTAGTCTCCTCATGGTTGGTTCAAAAAAATCACAGTTAGCAACAATATGCACAGGCCTTCCTCAATATTCTCAGGAGTAGTAATGGAGAGGATGATTTTAAACATGCTGCATAAGCGCTTTACTTCAGGTGGCAGCTCTTTGGAATTCCTATTAGGTGCATCACATCAAAGAGCGGCTCTCTGATGTTGACATGCCTGACGATTCTGAGTACAAAATCCAGGTCAAATAAGACTTACTGTTGAAAGCAAGCTTCTCCAGAGAAATTGCAGGGATTTCCCTTTGCATCCTGGTTACTTCAATTCTCTGTCTTGAACTTTACACCAAGGCCACTACGACCCCAAAGCCTCATGGAAGTCACCTCAGCAGTCATCTACTCCAATCACCTCTGACTGGCCATGACTGTTAAAGGTTTTGCTTCCATGAATGTGTGTTTTCCAAAGATACATACGCCACATCAGCAAATGAACGCTGACATGAGACATGACTTCTCCTTCTACAACTTCTAGAATTACAGGTATCATTGTCACACCAGTCCATCAGCACTGTGCAACACAGACATAATGTAAACCACATATATGATTTTAAGTTACGTAATGTTAAAAATAAGTCAAACCAAACAAGTGAAATGCACTTAATAGTGTATTTTCTCTAACCCAATATATCCAAACTACTGTAATTTCAACATGAAATCAATAAAAAATTATTAATGAGATATTTTGCCTTTTATCTCTCATACTAAGTCTTCAAAATTGGGGTCCACTTTACACTGACCACGTATCTCAATGGCCCCAACAGTCACATGTGGCTAGTGACCACTGACCTGGACAGTGTGAGTCCAGATGTCAAGCACCTTCTCTCCCAAGTTGTTATTGCTGCTCTTAGATTTACACTATTTAAGGATCTTAGAACTGATTTTGAAAGTCTTCTAACCTATGATGACACTACTTTCATTACTCTCAGCACCAAAACATGCGTCTTGCAAGACAGCTGAATGAAGCTATGTTACAGTGGGAGAGGGCTGCTAACCAGGATAGAGTTACCCTGTCTCTCAGAGTCACAAATAATATATTTGTTTCTCTAATCTCTAACTAGAACCCCATTTTGTTGAATTCCAGTGACATTCCTAAGATTCTAAGAATGATATTTCTTACTGACAGCAGGGAAATGGGAACTAACTACAAGGTTTTTTTTTTAAACAGCTCTGCCAACACCACTACCAAAAGATAAACTGAACAGCAACAGAAAGGAGGTTGAAAGCAGGAGAAAGTTCAAGTACAATCACCTTCTCACTATAAACTGCACTCCCATGGACCAGCTCTTAGTGTTTGAACAGGTACAAAATGAGGCTGAAGAAGAATAGGGCTCTTTAAGGACTCAAAGGAATGATCTAACCAAGTTTTAAATGAAGAAGAACTAAAGAACACATTCAGGTTAGGTGCTAATTCACCAGGTGAAAGTTGTTTTGAAAATCTATACTAAGAAAAGCTCTGTCATTTTCTCCCTGAAGATGAGACTGTGACCTCTACTAGTCTTTCAAAGGTGAAACAGATCACAAGAATATGAAAGGCAGTTCAATCTGGAGAACTTTCCACAGTGACAGTGGTGTGAAGTTCATAGCAATAAAATAATAATTAACACATCACAGCACATCCAGACTCTGACATTCTCTACCCCTATTTCCATTAGTCAGGGCCTCAAAAATCTACTCTTGAAAAAAAAAAAAAAAAAAAAGGCAAACTGGCTTAAAGTGAATTTTTTTCCTTTCCATGGAAGGTTGTTATCAAGCATTGCCCAGCCTACAGAATGAGCTACTTTGGCCTAATTCTGACAGCTGACTCAGCAGAGACCAGTTGGAACAATGGTTTTCAGGAGGCCAATGCTGGAATTGGTGAGGCTCTGACAGTACCCTGCCAAAGTCAGCAATTTCTTTAAAATAGGGTCAGCTTATAGGAACCCAGATGCTATATCTATTGGCCTGGTTTCTTGGAGAAAGAAAAAAACCAGACTACAACATACCCACTATCCTAAAAACAGCCAAGACACAACTGGCAGCAACCTCAGTAGACCTGAGCGATAAGCAGTGTTTGACACAAAGCTGGGAAGCCATTGATTTACTTAGCAATTACTCAAAGATTTCACATTCAAGTGGACGAGAAACCTAGGAACAAGACACAGGTCACAGCTCTTTTGGCCTTTGAAAAAACATATAAAAGCAGAAGGAAGGAAGCAAGTACAACACATCCTCACATCTTTATGCCCTCAGTCTACCTAAAAATAAATTTGAAGTGTGTGGTACAAAGATTATCAATGACTACAGCACTAAAATAAATGGAAAATGTAATAAAGATATAGTTCAACAAACATTTCTAGATTCAGGATAGTGCCTCGCAAAACTATATTTGTGATATTCTTGCCAAGTCAAGTATAACAGTACTCATTTTTATCTCATTCATTTATCCATTCGACCAGTTCATTTAAATCTTTCTTGTACCAGGTACTGTGCTAGACACTGGTGCTATAATGGGAAACTGAACCCAACAAGGACCCGCATTCAGGGACCTTCATATCCATTGTGAGAAAGGCAGACGGGCCAAATTGATTCACCTAAGTCAGTAAGACTTATTGATGTGTAATAAGAACTACCATTCACTGAATGCCTATCATGTTTCAGGTTCTATGTGAGGGACTCATTTAATCCTAACAACATCAGCAATTAGTCATTAAGACCATTTATAGATGAGGTAACTGAGCCTTACAGAGGTCAAATGATTTGCCAGGGTCATTCAGACAGTCAAGGACAGAGCCAAGATATAAACCCAGATCTGTCCAACTCCTATCATAAGCTTAATGTCTGAAAATAAGATATCATCTTGGTATTAAAAGAATCAGGCAAATCAATGGTGAGCAGGACTGACTGACAGCTTGTGCAATGCATTAAAATGTATGATTATAAACAACCCAATTTTAAATGTGGATAAAGGATTTGAACAGACACTTCACAAAAGAAAATATACAGATGGCAAATAAGCAGATGAAAACATGTTCAACATCCTTAATCATTTCGAAAATGCAAGTTAAAATCACAGTGAAATGTCACCACACTGCTAGAAAGGCAAAGAAAAAATGTTTTTAATTTTAATACCAAGGGCAGGTGAAGATGCAGAGCTTCTGTAACTCTTAGATGTTGCTGATGAAAATGAAAAATGGTACAGCCACTTTGGAAAAAGCTTGACAGTTTCTTATAAAGTTGGACATATATGTGCCATACTACACAGAGATCTCAATTCTAGGTATCTACCTAGCAAAATGAAAACCACTGTTGACACAAATACCTATCTAATACATATTTAGTTATCTCTCTGGCCCTCTGAACCTATTCTCTTGCTGTCTTTGAAGTCTCCTTTAGCAACTTTATTCTTAATTCCCAAAAATGAGAACAATTCTACTGCCCTTTAACTGGTGAATGGCTACACATACTATAGTATATTCATACAATGGAATAATATGCAACAATACAAAGGAACAAAATAATGACACAAGCAAAAACACAGGCCGGGTGCAGTGGCTCACACCTGTAATCCCAGTACTTTGGGAGGCTGAAGCAGGAGGATCAGCGGAGCCCAGGAGTTCGAGACCAGCCCTGGCACTATAGTGAGACCCTGTCTGTACAAAAAATTTAAAAAATTATCAGGGCGTTGGTGGCGCATGCCTGTACCCTCAGCTACTTGGATGACTGTGGTGAGGGTATCGCTTGAGCCCAGGAGGTTTAGGTTGGAGTGAGCCATGGTCATGCCACTGTACTCTAGCCTGAGCAACAGAAAGAGACCCTGTCTAAAAAAAAAAAGCAACAACAGGGATGAAGCTTAAGTCCATTTTATTAAGTGAGAAAAGCTAAATCTAATACCTTTATACACTAGATTATCCCACTTACATGATATTCAGAAAAAAAGGCAAAATTATTAGGAATAGAAAATGGATATAATTGCTTGGAGGAGGTGGAAAGGATTGACTACAAATGGTCAGTAGAAAATAATTTTAGGAATGCTGATTTTTAGGGGTGATAGTATTATTATTCTATAGTTTGAATGAAGTGGTAGTTACATGATTGTATGCAACTGCTGAAACTCAGAGCACTGCATACCAAAAAGAGTAACTTTTGTTGCAAGTTAATTTTCAAAATGAATACAATTTGCTTCAACAAATGTGATTTGAATGACAGAAATTAAACACAAAGATACACAAAAATACTAAATACACAAAATACTAAATACACAAAAATATACAAAGATACACAAAAATACTAAAATTTTGCCTAAAGCCATCCCAAACTACAAGACGTATTCTTAATGACAAAATGTTGGAACATGAACAATTTCAAATTGGCAAGTAACAGATTTTTTTTTTTTAACACCTTCTCACTAGTTGGCAAGCAGAACAGTTCGCTCCAATATCTTCATTCTGCATTCTGGAAAATGCAAACAGGGCACAGGGAAGCTTCTGGTATGGGCGAATGAAGGTTTCTCCTTAGCCTGTAACAGGTCACAAAAGCTGATGCACAGTTTTTCTTCACAGGAGAAGCTAAAATTTCCCAAAGGCTTGCTGCTTTCCCATTATGGAAGAGGCACTGTAAGAACAACCTGGTGAATTACCCCGAGATCCCTAACTATTGCTGTGTGAGGGCTTTGCTTTTGAGGTTGGGGTTGAAGCTCATTTGAAATCTTTGACATTCCCCAATAAGATATTGCTGGGCCCAAGACTTTGCTACTTTTTTCTTAATGCCATTGGGATACAGATGCTCCTCGACTCACTTTGGAGTTATGTCCCAATAAACCACTGGTTTACTGGGAACACACCTAACCTACTGAACATCATAGCTTAGGCTGGCCTATCTTAAACGTGCTCAAAACATTTACATTAGCCTAGAGCTGGGCAAAATCATCTAACACAAAGCCTATTTTATAACAAAGTGTTGAATATCACATGTAATTTATTGAATACTGTACTGAAAGTAAAAAACAGAACAGTTGTGTGGATACTCGAAGTATGGTGTCTACTGAATACATATGGCATTTCTTTGCCATTTTATTTTATTATTACTTTTTTCTTTTTTTTTTTTTTTTTTTTTTGAGACAGGGTCTCGCTCTGTCGCCCAGGCTGGAGTGCACTGGTGCAATCTCAGCTCACTGCAACCCCTACCTCCTGGGCTT
Source organism: Homo sapiens (assembly GCF_000001405.40). Classification (NCBI taxonomy): domain Eukaryota; kingdom Metazoa; phylum Chordata; class Mammalia; order Primates; family Hominidae; genus Homo; species Homo sapiens. Next base: position 65,587,583 of record NC_000003.12, read on the forward strand.
CCACCTCCCAGCTTCCACCTCTCAAGTAGCTAGGACTACAGGCACATGCCACCATGCCCAGCTAATTGTTCTATTTTTTTGTAGAGATGAGGTTTCACCATGTTGCCCAGGCTGGTCTCAAACTCCTGAGCTCAAGCAATCCACCCGCCTTGGTCTCCCAAAGTGCTAAGATTACAGACGTGAACCAAGGTGCCCAGCCTACTTTACCATTTTAAAGTTGAGAGATTGAGTTGTAACTCGACCGACCAGCTGTATTAACCACACCCTCCCTCCCTTCTTCGCATTACAACACAATGAAACAACAGAAGCACTCAATCAGGGAGTAATTCTACAAAATGTATGGCAAGCCTGAGAGAAGCTCAACTTCCCAGTGTTGGGATCCATCTGGATCTCAATTCTCCAGCACACATTTGGTTCTTTTCCCAAGGCTCTAGAGCCTATTCTCCGGCTTTCCTTAGAGGCTCCTTTTCTGAACAGCCCCAAATCGCTGGCTCATCTGCCTACCAAAGACTCGCTAAAAACCCATATTACAAGCAATTCAAAGCATGAAATGAAAATTGATGCTTTCAACTCCTGTAACGATGAAAACGGGAAGCTGCCGGAAACTCTATGCTCCTTTATTTTCCAAGAATATAGATAGCCTTCCAAGAATATAGATAGTCAGTTTTCAAGAATAGAGATAGCAGCATGTTATATGAGATAAGAACTTGCTCTAAGGGTGAAGCATTCCTCCCTAAATTTGACCCCATTAAGGTGGAGCGTTTGCATTCAAAGGCAAGTCTGGTAGGGGTGTATTAATAACAAAAAGAAAAAATGCTACCTTCAGAATCAACACTGACCAAAGATGACAAACTACTCCCCATATGTAAAAGGCACATTAAAACAATGAGTGACTATGCCCTTCAGTGTGAATCAAATCACATTTTTCAATCTAGGCAATGTAGATGAAAGTCTCACTACTCTAATGGTGAGATGGGCAGTTCAAATTCTATCTCTGTGCAGGTTAAGTATCTGTAAAATGAGAGGATTGAACAGAAATAACATCTCTGAGTTCTCTTGCAATATTATGTTCTATAGTTCTAGGACTTAAGGAAGTACAAAGGGCAATGTACTGTCTGTCATTCTCTACTAAAATAAAAGTTCCCCAAGGGAAAGAAGTGTTAATTATTGTACCCTTGGTACCTTGCAGAGTGCTTGGCATATACAACATGCTCAATAAATTTTTATTGAACGAATGATGAATGATAGTAGAGTCAGGATAAGTTTGCCTGGCTCCATCATTTGATTATCGGGTTCCGTAATTAAGAAATAAATATTTATATACCTAAATTGTGACTTCACAACAGACGCTAGGAACACAAAAATGTATGAGACACTGAAGTTATCCTTAAACTTATATTCTAGATAGTGAAACAAGAAATGTTAGCTTAAGAAGAGAACCATCTAGGAAGTAAAGAGTTTTCTAATGTTGTTAGGTTCAGAGCAGGGATAGGTCAGAGTAAACAGTTTACAGTATGCATGGACGGCTTCCTGCAGTATGTGGACAGAAAACTGGGGAGACAGGAAACTTGAATAGTTGAAAATGATTTAAAATGATGGCAAGAAGGATTCATTTCCTTACAATGGGGCAGTGAAATAAGGTGCTTCTATATTTTTATATATTAACAAGATACTATGAAAACAGATTCAAACTTAAACACGCTGTTTTGGACAATCACTTAGGCCACTCCCAGGCTTATAGATCCCACACTCTGCTGGACAGCCCACTTGCATGCCCCTTGTGACTTTCCCGTCTACTAAGTCACCCTTCCTAGGACCATGCATGTCATCTTGGACCTCTTCCTCTCCCTTGCACTTCCTGCTCCAGTATTCACCAAGTCCTTTCTCTCCCTAAATATTTATTTATTGGGTATCTCCCCTGTCTTCCTTGCCTTAGCTTGGGCTTTTTCACTTTGACCGTAGCTTCCTTGTTGACCCCCCCTGCATTAACTTCATTCCCTAAATCAAGGGTTGGGAAATTTTTTCTGTCAAGGGTCAGATAATAAATAGAAAATAGGCTTTGGAGGCTGTGTAGTCTCTGTCACAACTACTCAACACTCCCAATGTGGCATAAAAGCAGCCATAAAAAAAAATACAATAACCAGATGACCAGGTTCCAGTAAAACTTTATTTACCACGACATGCAGTGGGCCAAATCTGACCTCAGGACCCTACTTGAATGACCCTTGCTTTAGATGGTTGCCAGGGTGGTTTTCAAAAAAAAAAAAACAAATAGTACCATGTGACTCTCCTAAACTCTTCCAAGACACCCATCACCTTCAGGATAAGTTCCAGGCTCCTTGGCATCTCTGTGTCCATCCCCGAGTCTGTGTCTCATAACTCTTAAAATTGCACACTCAACGATCCATGACTTAATCCCTTCCCAGAAACACCAGCCTCTTATGACTTGATATACACATGGTTGCGTCCTCTTCCAGGAATGTCTTCATTTCCTCTGAAAAACTCCCATCCAGCCTTTAAAACGCATCACCAGTGTCTCCTCTACTATGAAATCTTCCCTGACCTGAATTCTAGACAAAGTCAGGTCAGTCTCTGTGCTCCCCCAGCACCTTGACATACTTCTCTTACAACCCATGTGACGGTGGGATGTCATTGGCCATGTATGTGTCTCTCACCACCACCAATTCCCCTGTGAGGGTAAAGCTATTTTGTACATCTTTGTATCTTTAACACCCAGCATAATATCGGGCTCATAAACATATTTGGGTCATAACAACTATTTGTTTGATTAATCGGTAAAAAAATCATAAAGATTTCAACTTGGTACTCCTTTGACCTTGTATAACTGTAAAGAAATCTGAATTCACTCGGTGCTCTTAACTATCTTGGTTGTGCCAACTATTTTAATTCAACACTTGCTATTAAAACTTGTCCAAATGTCAGAATAAACTGTTCTTTCTGAGGATGATATAATTCAAAATTTCCCCTTTTAAAGGAGATGTACTTTAAAACTGCTACTTAGCTGTCCCCCCCATTCGTCTTTAATTAGCTGCTTGAACAATGCTGAATATATTACATCCTTGCAGAGAGCTAAGTCCTCAAGCAATTAGTCTGTCCTACCAAATGTGACCTACATCACTACTGTGCCCAGGATAGGCAAACCTTCACAGGACAGGATAAATTCCTACATCTTCCAGAATCTAGACAGAGCCTCTAAGGCCAAAGGAAACATGAACTTGCGGTAAAGACTATAAAAAGTCCATGTTTTTTCACCTATCAAACCAGCAAAACTTTAAGAAACAAGAGAATGAACACGCTTACACATGCTGATGAGAATGTAAATTATATAATTCTTTTAGTGGAACAATTTGGGAGTTTTTCAAATCCTAAAATGTGCATTCTCTTTAACTCAGTGATGCCACTCTCAGGAGTTTAACTTACAGAAGAATTCACAATACACACAAAGCTACGTGTGCAAGGATGTTCCTTTCATCACCGTTTCCATCATTCAAAAACTGGGGAATGTTGGGCTAAATCATGGTACAGCAAAATTTTCCATGAACTCCACCATCTACAACCACTGACTTCTTGAGAGTCCTGACTGTCAAGCTCACTATGTCCAAAATGAAACTCCTGATCTTAAACTAAGAGATGACCCACCCCCGCCTGGTGTCCCCCATCTAGCAAATGACTATTCTGTCCTTCCAGTTGTTCATGTTAAAAAGCAAAAAACCAAAACCCTTGGAGTCATTCTCAATTCCTCTCTTTTTCTCACACCCCTCAGGTCATCCATCAGGCATGAGTCTACTCTCAAAATATATATAACCACTTTGTACACCTCCACTACCATTACTCTGGTCTGGCCACTATAATCTCACACCAGGATTATAACAACTTCCTGTCATAACAACTTCCTGTCAGTGCTCTCTGCTTCCGCTCCTTCGGAAAACCTCATCCTACTACCTTCAGTGAGGCTTTGTGAATGTTCATTGGGAGCATGTTACTGCCTGGATCAAGACTCTGCAATGGCTCCTATTTCATTCTGGGTGGCGTGGTTGGTTAGGGTCTAAAATGTCTAGCATAATCTGTCATTCTTCCTTATACTCTGACCTCTCCTCCCATAGTTCTAACCCTTGTTCACTCTATTTCTGCCACTCCGGCCTCCTTGCTGTTCCTCTGAAAATGCAGGTACCACTTCTGCCACAGGGCCTTTGCAATGGATTGGCTTTTACCCAGTTATGCACATGGCTCCTTCCCTCATGCATTCAGGTTTGTGCTTATATGTTACTTTTCCAGTGAGGTCGACCCTTGACACCTTGAAAACTCTATTTAAAAACTGCAACATGCCCAATCTCCACACTCAACCCCCTTACTCTGCTCTGCTTTTTCCCTCGTATAATGTCCCACCTTCTAATATACGAAATGATTCACTCAACTATTACATGTACTGTTTTGATTTCACCTGACTAGAACATAAACCCTATAAGGGATCTTCATCTGTTTTGGTTGATCATATATACCAGGCAGGCAGAACACAGTTCCTAGCACATAAAGATTGTTAAATAAATACTTGTTGAATAAATAAATATATCTTAGTGTTTCTGTGAGGACTAAATCAGCCAGCCCTAGCACATAGCAACCTAACAAAAGTAGGTTCCAATTATTATTAGAAAGAATAAAGTAGGCATGCATCTACTGACATGGAAAGTTGCCCAGATGTAAAGACAATAAGAAAAGTCAAGTTGTAACTGAATACAAAGTGTGCAACTGAACTAGCATGCAAAGGGGAGTTAATAGAGCATTATCAATAATACTGAAAAACTAGAAACATGCTAACAGGTCACCATCAGGGCAAGGGTTAAACATATTATACCATCTTCCCACCATACTTGGGGACATTATGTGGTTGTCACCAAGAATAAGGTAGGATATTTGTGTTACATATTAAGATGTCAATTTCAGATGGGGAAAAGAAATTGACTTACTGACTGAACAGGAGGTAGAGTGTGATAGCATCTTCTTTGAAAGAAAAAAGAAAAAAGCTATGTGCATATATATATTAGTGCAGAAAAGTTAGGAGGGAAACAAAGGAACACACGCACATGCAGTTACTTTTGGAGAGTTGGACTTCAGAAAGAATGAGGGCTAGTGTGTAATTTTATGCTGCATTTTTCCATTGTGCTTGACTTTTCTGCAAGCAACGAACCCAACTTTTGTTTTGCCAACCACAGTAACTTCTGGGAAAAACTTCCCATAGTGGAAAGATCTCATTTTAACTAATCATTTTTACCTTATTCCCTATTCCCTGATCTTATTAGAAGTAAATTAAGATGGGTTCTAATACAAGCTACAGGAGGGCAGGGGGTTTTTATATTTTGTTGATGGGGCTATGATTCCCCAGTGCCTAACAAGCGCCTACCACATAGTAGGCACTCAAATATTATAAGTTATTCTCAATATAAGGTCACCTTCAGGTAAAATTAAAAGTAGTAAATTAAAAAGTCCCAAGCTAGAAAGGGATATAGCAAAAGCATCCATAAACTGGAGTGTTAAGCCTCATAAAAAGGAGTTTAAATGTTTACAGACTTTTTTGGCTTCCCTTTCAGGTCACTATCTATAATCATGTATTTTTAAAGCAACTCTCTTTGGCATGACTCCACAATTAATGAGAAAATTATAGCACTTACTGTCTTATAGCCAAGTTATTTCATACAGTCTTTGTCAAATTTGTAGATTCCCACTGATCTAATCTTTATTGTGGCAAAGAAATATACCCAGTGCAATAATTCAGATGCAAGGACTAGTAGATTGTGAAGGATGGGGGGGAAAGGAGATTCTTTAATCAGGCGAGCAGTATGAACTTTTCAGAACAATTCAACAGTGAGCAGAGTAGAAATCTAAATGATTTTTTACTTCCAATAGAATATAGGATAAACTATCTGGTTGGTGGAAAATAATATGTATCATTAAATACAAACAAACTTATGTTTCATTTTCTATTTTCAAAATGATTTTTCAAGGAGTTGTACTTTTTTGCATTGCTTTGATAATTACAATAGCACTCTAGGAAACAGCCTGAACTTCATAATGACTGCATAAGGTCAAAGTTCTTAATGTGTCCATTCATTCAAGTATTTATTGAACGTGTATTACCTGCTAAGCATTGTGCTTACGACTAGATATAGAAATACGGGAAACATATTGATATCTCATTATATGGATATAGTTATATTGGGATATTGAAAGAGAAATAATTTAAAAATCTCCACAAACAAAAGCCTCACAGAATGGAATTAAAAGAAATATGTTTTTTTCTTTTCCTGCCCTTTCAGGTCAGATAATCATTTAAAAATCTTTTCGCTCAAGAACATTCAGCCTGATGAGTCACTTTCAAGCCCAAGACCTCCCCTTTACTCTCATGCCTCAGATCTTCTCAAACATTTTGGTAAAAGTCAGGTAACATTTTCTCCATCCTGTTTTTATTCTTGAATCTGGCCACCTATCAAAACTTTAAGGATGTCAACCGCCATGGATGAAGAAATAATAATCAGCAACAGCAGCTCAAGGACTGTATTTGAAAAAACAAAACCAAACCAGATATCTAGATGGCATCAGTCATCAACTCACTAGATTCTTGAAAAGCAAGTGGATTGAGTGCCATTTTTATCAAATGGAATCACTTGTCAAACAGGTTTACCAATAACAAAATGGCAAATCCCAGATCCCACTATTTAGAAACATTGTTTAGTCATAATTTTCCTGAGTGTTGACATCCCAAATTAGTCATGTAAATTTACTGAAGGCCAACAGTAGCAGAAACTTGTCAACAAGACCGAGGAAGCAAAGGAAGGCAGCATCTTTACATTTTTAGTGTTTATAACACTTCAAAAGCCTAAAAGTCATCAACAGCTGGCCTACTATCAGACACAGAGATCAGCAGAGTTACTGAATTAATGGCTGGCATTGTTGCTTTCTTCCCACCAGACATCTCAAAAAATGCTATGACAGTTTTTCTGGTGCCAGAGGGTGTCAGTATGACTGCGAGGGATGTGCTTACATTCAAATATTTGGGGTCTGATTATCAACATAAGAAATTTTTTTTTCAAAGGAAAAAACAAACATGCTGAGAAAATGGTGATTACTAAATGAACAGAATTTTGTTATGCAAATACAGTTGCAAAGAAAAAGAAATATCTGCAGTATTCTGATGGGGGGGTGTCTTTTGATTTAGCTTTTTCTAGTACTATCAACTCTATATTTACTTTCAGCTTTAGAAACCCTTTTACCTTCAGTGCTCAGTGTCTCCCAAATTCTATTCCATGCAAGCCTAATAAGCCAACATCAGAATAATGCATGGGTCTGTGTATTTATTTATTGAAATCATTAAACAGGCAGTTTCAGTCGGTATCACATCACCTGCTTTATATTACGCAGCACAGGGTCAAAGAGAAATTACAATTAAATTTTTCAATAACTGGTGTCAATTAAGCACGGTGTTTAGCTCCTTTGTAAATATGGAGATCTTATTCTCTCTGTCTTCTTTTTCCACTCCTCTACCCCCATCCATATGCCAAGAATGAATAGAAAACAAGGGGAAAGGAGAGGCTGCCTCATCAGAAGCCTTTGCTAGATGTGTCTTAGTAAAATCAGCTATAGTCATTACTTCTATGGCACCATTAATTCATGGGCATAGTTTCTGTTCTTATACACAAGAATGTCAAAGATCCATACAACTGTTTATCACAAAAACAGTCTTGGGTATCAAACGTATAGGTTCAAAGAGCTCCTTTCTGTTAATAAAGCCCATGTGAAACTGTTTTGCCACAAGCTTTTAGAGAATCTAGACTCAGGGTTGGTAGTTCCAGTGGACACACCAGGGGCCACCTCACAAATTGCCTCTTCTGGCCACAGTTAAACTGAAGAGGCAGTGAGGCTCTAGTCTCCCCTGGGGGTGGTTTCATATCAAACACACATGCCCATGCTTTTGCTCAGCAAGGATCGGGAGAGGAGCCTCAAGTCTAATCATAGGAACAGACCGATTTAAGAGCCATAATTGAGTAAAAAGAATAACGGACCGATTCCACGTCTCTCTAGCACAAACACAACAAATCCAAACACCAAACCTCAAGCATCTTTTTAAACACAGAAATACAACTTGAAATATACAGCCTAAGAAAGAAACTACATGGGGAAGCAAATGGGTAAGCTTCCGTTTTTAACTCTCTGGGGTGGGTAGGGTGGGTAGGGTGGGGGTGGGGAGTTAGGAGTATCCTCATCAAGAATCCTTTCCCTCTGCCCCATCCCCTTTCCCAAAGCCAAAAGAGGAAAGGCATTGAGAGACAGGGGCAGACTGCTTCTGTTTGCTCAGTTGAGAAATGGAGGAATCGAGTCTCTGTTGATACCATTAAACTGCTAAAGCTTTCAACAGCACTAAAATTCATTGGCAAGTGATGAGCTGCGCCTTGTCGACGAGTTTCAGTGCAAGTTAAATCACGAAAAGAATCCAACTTCATATCTAATTAATACAGGCTTCCAAGTGATCAAAAAACAACAGTTTTTCAGAAAGTATGAGCCTTATAGATGATAAAAGACAAGCTTTTCTCAACTAAGAAATGCATTTATTTTCCCAGAACCCCAAAGACAGTATGTCATTCCGTGGGTTACCATGTGCATATGGAATTTTTATGTTTTCAATATAAAAGTCACAATGCCCTCATGCAAAAGCTTCCCGTTTTACTGAAACCCCCAACAAATGTGTCCGAATCTTTTGAAAGCACTGAATACTCATTCAAGAGGAGTAGTAAAACAAACAACACTATAAACCAGCAAGGGTTATTTGGCTAGCACACACTCATAAGTAGTCTCCTAATTGATTCTCAGTTGACAGGGTGTTGAGCATGGTAAACTCTGGGAAAGAGAAAAGGGCCCAACATACCTAATCCTTAAAAATAAGCCATACATACCCTCAAATAATTTAGTTCAGGCACAAATCCACTCCCTTTGTGTGTGAGACAAAGTCTATATACCAACACTGTGGACAAGACAGCTTCCTTGTACACTCCATTGCCCCCTGGTACCCAGGTCAGTTAGACTTAGGACTTAGGAAGAGGAAGGGAGGCATAGCCTTCCTGAATCTTCAAAAATCCCCCAGCCTTCCGGGTTTGGCCCATTCACTTACAGAACCAGACAGGGAGAAAAGCCTTTTAGCTCCCAAGCACTCAGCAAGCCAGACTCTGGATTCTGTTTTCTGATGCCCACAGACATACATCTCTTACCTAGATAACACAGTGCTCTAACATACAAATGTTAATTTCCAGGAAGCAAACTTAAAAAGCCTTCCGCATGTACATTCTTCCTTTTAGAAATAGGAAAACGGACAGAGGAGAATCGCAGCCCTTCCGTTTCTAATTTTCCCCGAGAGCTTACAAAGCCCTCCAAAGTGCAAAGGCATTTGCCCACCGCGCTGCCCGGGGAAGCAGCTCTCCCTCTCCCCTGCCTTCCCCAGCCTGGGCGCCGGAACAATGCAGCAACATACATTTACCAACACCTGCTGGAGCCTATTAATATGCACGGGGACGTACTGATTTTTCCCCCCTCCCTTCCCCTGCCCTCCACACTGAGCAGGCTTTCATCTCCTCCTTTACCATCCATCAGGAACTCATTTCGCCGGCCCCCTCCCCCTCCCACCCCCAGTCCCCATTCAGCCGAGCCCCTCGCTCCAAAAGCCCGGGCTGACGAGCACACTTTGGAATGCACTTCATTAAAATTTAGCTGCCCGATTCCAACCTGCAATGCGGAGGAGGCAATACAAAGCGCGCGCCACACTTCCTCCAGCATCCCCTTCAAAAGCCCCATTGTTCGCCAGGCATCTGCTCCAGAGCCCGGCCTCTCCCTATCCACTGACCTCTGATTTTTTTTTCTCCCCCCTCCCCCTTCCTCCCAGCCTGGCCAAACGGGCCTGCCTGGTGAATTAAAACGCAGCCGCAGCCATCTGGCCCTCCCAAGCTGGCCGGGTTTCTCCCCGCCCCTCCTCCCTGGTCCACACACCACACACGGCATCTTCACCTCCATGGATATTCCCACAACCCAAGCTCAAACCTCCGGTGGCAGGGAGCCTCTGCCGCCGCCTGCCTGTCCCCAGGCTTCCTCCGGCAGCGGAGCGTTCGAATCCAGAGGTGGGCAGGGGGCGGTGGAGGGGTGGCGAGAGGAGATCATGGACCACTTGTACTTGCCTGCAAACCCCAGCCCAATCGCCAAGATTAATCCTTCCCTTTGTGAGCCTGAAACCGCCTCCCACCACGCTGGTCCTTGGCTCTGCAGCGGCTGTAAAGAGAGGCGGGGGTGGGGGGGGGGTGGGACCGAACCCCTTCCTGGGAGAGCTGGGGGCGCCTCGGCCACCTGACCACAGAGCGGTTTTTCGAGGGAAGAGGTGCTGGCAGCAGGAGCAGCTGATGGTGCGAGAAGGGAGAGAAGATGCCCAGGCTTGCGCCTTTTATATTACTGGCGACATTTCTAACACATGACAACAATTTCCATCTGTATTTAAGCCGGGAGTGTGAAAAAAGAGCATTACATCACAGAGCCCGGGCTCCTAGAGGCTGCCGGATATCTAGGCCGGGGGGATTAGGGGGCTGCACCTGCGGAGGGGGCGGGGACTGAGCGAGCCTCTCCCTGCTGGGGCGTGTCAGGTCCCCATCACCCGCATGGCCCTGTGGGAGCCCCTGGACATGGAAAGGCGGGAAATAGGGTTGCCCCATTTGCGACATGCTGGAGGCTGAGTGCATGAGTGGGTGGGTGAGGGCGAGGGAAGGGGCGTGACTCCCTTTCTTGGTTAGGGATACAACCCTGACTTCCCAAGAGCAAGGGACAGAAGTCCCTTCTGATGAAACTGACTTCTGCCTTTCTGCCTCTTCCCCAACTTTGGAAGGAATTCCAATAGATAATAACTCTTATGTTTGAAATAATTGTCTTCCTTTGGAGTTAAAATAAAGACGATGGAGTGGCTTAGAAAATGAATTTGAAGGATCCACTTTCAAGGAATTGACACTTCAAGAATCAAAGGTACAATCTGACTCAGAATCAAGCTGCTTCTCTACTGCTCACCTCTATGTCATTAAAACTCACTGTTTTTAAGGAGTGATAGGATAGTGGATAGGGGGAGGCTGGCCTCTGGTGCAGATGGTTGGCAAAGCTGCCTCTTTAAAAGATTCTCTAAGAGCCGGCGGTATCACCTCCACCCTGTTTCTTTTGAGGGATCCTTCCTCTTCATCCACCTTAGTGAGAAAACTTTATTGAGAGACCTCTAGCTTTGGAAAGGTAAGTTTTCTCTATTTTCAAATGGTCAGTCATTGCTGAAGCTACACCTTGTAGCAAGAGAGTGAATGCCTCCAGACTGTCAAAGAAAGGACGCTATCCACTGCCTTCCTTCTCATAATCCAGGTGCTACAGAGTCACGTGCAAGCATCCTCCAAGAATTCATTACTACAACTTGGACAGGAGGAGATAAAGGGGCTGCAAGATGTTCTGAGAGGAAGAATGCCAAGAAAATAGGGCAAGAGGGGAAAGGAAGCAAGGGCATACCTCTTTCTGGGGTATGTTGGGGGAGGCAATGCAGAAGCTAGATTACAAATGGGTGGATCATAGGATGGCAAAGCAGGCTTTACGGGTGCGGGAGAAAGGTGAGAGGGCAGTGGGCCATTTAGATAACAAGGCAGCACAGATCTTTCCTTCGAATGCAGTATCGGCTGGATTTCATAGCAGATGAGAAAATAAATGTTGTTCCTTCATATTTGCTACTCAGTAAACCTAGGCATGTCCATCTGAAAAATCCAGGGTGTGGAAGGACAGCATGTCTAAGGCCCCTTTTCCTTCTAGTCACTCACTGTGGTCAAAAGACTCAATACTGGAGTCAGACTCACTAGGTTCCAACTCCATCTTTCCATTTTCCAGCTGTGTGACTGTAGATAATTACTTGCCTGTTTCCCCTGGTGTACAAAATGGAACAAAAACTCTCTACTTGTTATACAGATCACACATACAAAGTGCTTGGTACAGTTCACCATACATAACAGGTGCTCACTAAATGTCACCTATCACTACTGCTACTATTATGATTGTTTCTATATAAAACATCTCAACCAAATGAAAGTGTTCATCTTCTACTACTGAGGGGACCTGCAAAATGGAACAGCTCCCAGGGCTTCAATTAGTGAAATGCAAACACCAGAACCCTAGACATCCTGGACCTGCCAGAAAAAAGCGAGTAAGATGTCTCGGAAGAAACACAGATTCGCTGGCTTCATTCTTGATTCACATCTACTTGCAGGAAGGTGAAAGGCCTTAAGAGTTACATGCAAAGTATTTGCTTACCTATTTTGTTTGAGAGAAACAATAAACTTAAGGGAATACTTTATCAACCATGTACATAATACATACGAGCATTTACATCACTTTTCCTCTCAATCATTATTTTTAAAAATGGAAAAAGAAAAGCAGATACTACATAAAACTTTCAAAAGCCTTTTGCCACAAGCTAATGCTGAAAAATGGAATTTGTATTTTATTAGTTTTCCACAAGAAAATGATTGTACAGTACAAATTAAATTGCTCTTTTGCAAGGAATCTGCATAGAGACTTCCCTGAAGGGAACAAAAATACAAAAGGCATTCTTTTTATGAGAGAAAGAAGGGAACTTTTATTCAATAAGTATTCAAGGATGTAGCTTTCCAGTCTTCAATAGGGAAAGAAAAATAGCCGTCATTTTGGTTAGGAAATATCCCTAATAATAACAAATTATTTTCAATCAGAGCTCCAAAGACCAGGTTTCTCTATGTGCAAGAGAAGCACAGGAAAAAGAGTCCATGAAAATCTACTTGGTTTTTCTCAGAGGTGTAGTATCTTGACACACTCAATCTCAAAAACCAAGGCTCTCCCAGCTTGTGTGGTCTCCAGCAGAAGCCAGGAGAGATGCTTAGTTGCATTTCTTTTAAAGTCTCTTTTGTCGCACACACAAAATTAAAACCAGTAGGTCCTGGGCTAGCCAGCTTCATGGGCGCCTGGCTTATAGAGCCAAGGGCAAGCTATGGCTGCAGTGCCTTGAGAGCACAGTTTAGAGAGGCAGTGAAATGTAGACACTTCTTTACTGGCAATTTTTGAGAAATAACTGTGAGAAAAAGGCCAAGAGTTTCTCTCACTGAACACATTGAAAGTAATTAGAGAAATGTTTAGGAATCACAATAAATGCTGTGGAAAAGTGACCACTTGCGAGGCAGTAGAACATACTGGTTATGAGAGTGGGATCTGGGGCTAGACCAGTTCAAAACCCCACCTCTGGCTTTCTCAGTGTGAACCACTGGGCAAACTTGACCTTACAATGACTCTACTTTTTCACCTGTAAAATGAGAGTAAAAGGAGTTCCTGCCTCATGGAACTGTGATGAAGACTAACTGGGTGAATAGAGGGCATGGTACTTAGATCTGAGTTCCCGGCACAGAGAAAGTGCTGACTAAGTATTATTACTGGCACATCAACACGCTAACTCTTAGGTGTGGATTCCCTCTAAATGCTTGCTCTGCATATGTTTTTCCACAAATATTTATTGAGCACATACCAAGCATATAGCTCTGTTGGATATAATAAAGAGGCAGAATATATCCATGGGGTCAGAAAGGGGTTTTATAGTTTGTTTGTTTTTTTAATAGAAATGTCCTTTGGATAAAATATGAACTCACATAACACAGGCCACATTCACTGACTAAAATGTAGTAAGAACAGCCATTAACAGTCAAAGGGAAAGCAAAAATTCATAATAAAATCTGCAGGATGTACCCATATGCCCACACAGAAGGAAATTATAGCCTTAAATGCATTTATTAGAGAATAAGAGAGACAGAAATTAATTATGCTTTCTATGCATGATGCTGTAAAAGTTAAAATGAAATAAATTAAAAAACAAAAGTAGAAAATTCAACAGTGTTGGGACAACTGGATATCCACATGCAAAAGAATGAAGTTGGACCCCCACCTCCACACCAAACACAAAGATTAATTCAAAATGCACCATGGACCTAAAATTATAAAACTCTTTTAAGAGTAAGATAAAAAAGCAGTAAATCTTTTTTATCCTGGGTGACACCAAAAGCACAAATAAAAAAAAAACAGAAATTAGACAGATTAGAGTGTATTAAAATTTAAAACTTTTGTGCTGAAAACAATATCACCAAGTTAGTGAAAAGACACCCATGGAAAGAAAAAAAATACTGGTGAAGCATTTATCTGATAAGGTCCTTGTATCCAGAATATGTGAAAAACTTCTACAACTAAACAATAAAAAGACAAATAATCCAATTAAAAATAGGCAAAGGAATTCAATAGGCATTTCTCCAAAGACAATACACAGATGGCCAACAAGCATATGGGAAGATGCTCAACAAATCAAAACCACAATGACATCCCATTCATACCCACTAAAATGGCTATAATCAAAAGGACAAGTAAGTAACGATGTTGATAATTGGAAGTGTCCTGTATGCTAATATAAAATGGTTTAGCCACTTTGGAAAACAGTCTGGCAGTTTCTCAAAAAGTTAAATTTATGATATGACCAAATGATTCCCTCAGTATACAGCCAAGAGAAATAAAAACATACATCCACATAAAAACATATACATGAATGTTATAGCAGCATTATTACTCATAATAGCCAAAAAGTGAAATAATTCAAATGTTCACTAACTGATGAATGAATAAAATGTGGCACACCCATATGAGAGGATACTATTGGGCAATAAAAAGGAATGAAATACTGATACGACATGGATAAACCTGAAAACATCACGCTGAGTAAAAGAAGACACAACATGTCACATATTGTGTTATTCCATTTATATGAAATCTACACCATAGGTGAATGTATAGAGACAGAAGGTAAATCAGAAGTTACCTATAGCTGTGGGAGTTAGAAGGAAATGGGATGTGACTATTAATGCATATAGGGTTTCTTTCTCGGGGTGATAAAAACATTCTATAATTTTGTGGTGACAGTTGTACACCTTGAGAATAAACTAAAAAATAATGATTTTTAAAAATAGGTCAATTATGTAGTATGGGAACTATATTTCAATAAAACTATTTTTAAAAGGTAGAAAGAAGAAATAATGAAATTAAGGTAGAAATTTATACTGGACACTATTGGCAATAAGGAAAAAATAGAGACAAAAACTGTTTCTAGGGAAGCACTATTAAAATAGAAAAACCTTTGGCAAATAGGACCATGAGTGGGGAAAGGAGAAATCATATATGATCAACCTTAGGAGCAAAAAAGGAGGCAATACAAATATTAAAAAGATTTATTTTCATGTATAAGAGAATACCATGTACAACTTTATACCAATTAATTTAAAATCTAGACAGAATGGTTCATTTTCTAGAATAATAAATTAATGAAACTATCTTAAGAAGCAATAGAAAATGTGAATAGAGCAATGACTGTAACTAAAATGAAGTTAAAGAACTATCTCCTCCTTCCCTTTTCCTAGCTACTGCAAAGAAAAAAATACGTACCAGGCCAGGATATTTTATGGACAGATTTTACCAAGCTTTCAAAGAAAAGTGTGATACCCTTTATACAACTCCAAACACAAATACTTTCCATACTGTTTATTATATATTTTCTACAGGTTCATACATATTAAGAATAATTAGAAAAAGATCTCAGATGAATATTTAAAAAATGATAATCTATGATTAACAGACCAAAAAATATATATAGCACAGTGTTGAGATGGTCAAAGGGGACAATGAAATTCACGATGCTGCTTCCATTTTGAATAAAAAAATTTATATGACAATCTACATAATAAAAATTTGACAATTATTTGGAATAAAAAATTAAGGTATTATTTGGAAACATGCATTAAATTTTCTGTCTAGTTGATTGAACCATAGAACGTAGATAAAAGGGAGGCATTACTGCCATCGAACAGAAAGTTATTCTAATTGTAGGTAAAATCCCTAAGAAACTGAAAAGCCTACATGCTGGTCTTGTAAGCCTGAATATAAAGTTAAAGCAGAACTAACAAAAAGGAATAGCCTTGTCTTTCTTTGTGTTGCTATAAGAAAATACCTGAGACAGTCGTTTATAAAGAACAGAAATGTATCATAGTTCTGGAGGCAGGGAATTCCAAGATCCAAGTGCTGGCAAGTTTGTCTTTTGAGGGCCTGGTCTCTCCTTCCAAGATGGCGCCCTGTTACAGCATCCCCCAGAAGGGTAATGATGGGTCCTCACATGACAGAAGACTGGAAGAAAGGAAACCCACTCTCTCAAGTCTGTTTAAAAGGATCCTATTCCCATCCATGAAGGTTCCACCCTCATGACTGAATCACCTCGGAAAGGCCCCATCTCTTACTACATATTGGCCATTATGTTTCAACACGTGAATTTTGGGTGATACATTCACATTATAGCACTTTGTAATTTTCACAATATCAAAATTTCCTTAGTTCTAAGATGTAATTAATTATAAGATTCAACTTTCAATTTATGGCTTTTCAGGGGAAAAGAAAACTACGGCATTAAATATGCACATTTATGTTTAAAAACATCCAAATGCAAAAAAAAAAAGTATCTGAGGATCAAGAAATATTGGTGTTATATGACAAAGAAGACACTAATAAAAATGAAAAACACTCTTCCAATGATAACATTTGAAGCTATGTTGGATTCTACAGCAAAGTTGTGCCTGGATAATGATGTTTAGTTATATATTGATATTAATATATAATGATTATTTAAGAAATAGCAAATACTGCTGGAGAAAGGCAAGCAAAACAAAAGTGCCTCAATTTATCTGATGCTTTTTAAATTGGCCAAGGGCCTAAAAATAATAACAGAGAAACGATATCAGAGTTGCTACTGTGGATGTTTTTCCTGGCTTGTGGAATACGATGACTTTCATATAATGTCAGAGACAAATAATAAATCACTTCACAGTTATTTATATATTCATAGAGATGGGGGTTTTCCTTATAAGAACCTTTGATTTCCATCATATAAGAAAAAAGAAACCAAAAACACCAACTTGAAATGCTATTTTCCTACTGGATTTTAACTTGAATTGCCACAAATGTGTGAAGAAGTGAACTGCTTATTTAAAAAAAAAAAAAACTATTGACAAGTCTCTGGCTTTTATTAGTCAACTGGAAAATCAAACAGCAAATGGGGAATAAACAAAATTCCTATGACTGTAAATTTCAACAAGAAGTGAAAATAGAACAGATGTGGAACATTTTCCTTAATGTGTTACTATTTAGCAGTACTTCCCTCCAAGGTGCAAAACATGACCATCTTCTTGGAATGTACTCAAATGGGCTCTTTTACAGGCTTTCCAAGAAAACACAAAAGCAGCAAGCTTCCAGTTGTTATGCCTGAAAATGACTCATGCCATGAAAATATGCAACTTAAGATAGCTAATGAGAGAAGAACCATTCTACGACAGCTCTAACAAAGATAAAGTTCCAGAAACTTCAAACATTTATTGTACAAGGGATGTCATAACGACCCTTTCAATTTGCATGACGAGACCTCACTATAAATGACCTGTTTTACAAGACCACATCCACTTATCCTTAAAATTGCACAATTTACAATGAACCTGTGCTGGTATCATCCTTTTGTATTTTGTGTTGTGACTCTTGCTGGCTTCAGAACACAAATTATGGCTCTCAGCATCATGTTCACCATGTGCATCTTTGAAAAATTTCACCTGTGAAACTTTACACTACACTCACATACCAGCCAAATGAGTTCCTGAAAAAATCTGCCACAGTGAATAAATAAAGGGGGGAGAAATTATAGATTTGATACTTGCTGGGGAGTATGATATGAAAGTAATTGTGCTTCCTGTAGGCCATGCACAACTGTAAGAAGTGCTCTTCTTCCTGCAGACAGACAAACTCAATGATGGAGAGCCTAACAGTTGGCAATAAAAGAAAAACCAGCCCTTGTAGGCCAACCAGACCCTTCTAGAGTGTCTGACCTACTTTTAAAGCATGCTGAAGGGCTTTCAGCAGATAAGAGTTAATGAAGGAGAGAGAAAAAATAAGTCTACAATATCACACTTACTATTTAAGTGTGCCCATCAGTGTGCCTTATATTAGTAAAGTATACATTGTCCAACTCAGGTTCAATGGTAGATTACTTATATAGGAAACATATCTCAATTGCAACTGCTCTAGGAAACATCAAATATTTTGACGAAAGAATTACAGAATCAAACTCTGAAATGAAAGTCCACTTCTACCCACAACCCAGAGAGGAGATCCGGCGAGTCCTACTTTGTGCAGGGTAGTTACATGTAAAACATCCCTTCCCTCCTCCTTTGCATCCATTCAACTCTGCCTACTAAATGATTATTTCAATTAGCACAGAATGTGCATTTCTACTCATCAGATACATGGACATATTTTTGCAGTTTGAGCACCTACTATGTGCCAGAGCCTCTCTTGGTGCTTTTCATGTATTATGTTAATTAACTCTCCCTACAAGTCTATGGGGATAATACTATTGTCCCAATTTTATAAATTGCAAAACCTCGGGTAGGAACTTATCCAAGATCACAAAGCCAGAGGACAGAAGGGCTATGAGTCAAACACGTATCTTTCCACATCCAAAACCTATGTTTACTCAGCAACCACTGCACCGTGCCTCTCAGTGCCCTGAAGGTTATTTTACTTTTACTTTCTTTATTTTTTTATTTTGTTTATTTATTTATTTTTTTGAGACAGGATCTTGCTCTGTCACCCAGGCAGGAGTACAGTGGCACAATCTTGGCTCACTGCAACCTGTGCCTCCCAGGCTCAAGCAATCCTCCCACCTTAGCCCCCAGAGTAGCTGCGATTACAGGTGTATGCCACCACACCCGGATGTTTATTTATTTATTTGTTTGTTTATTTTTGAGATCGAATCTTGCTCTGTCACCCAGACTGGAGTATAGTGGCATGATCTTTGCTCACTGCAACCTCCACCTCCCAGGCTCAAGTGACTCTCCTGCTTAGGCCTCCTGAGTAGCTGGAATTACAGGCACCCACAACCACGCCTGGCTAATTTTTGTATTTTCAGTAGAGATGGGGTTTCACCATGTTGGCTAGGCAGGTCTCGAACTCCTGACCTTAAGTGATCCACCCGCCTCAGCCTCCCAAAGTGCTGGGATGACAGGTGTGAGCCGCCGCACCCAGCCCGGCTAATTTTTGTATTTTTTGTAGAGATGGGTTTTCACCATGTTGCTTAGGCTGGTCTCAAACTCCTGAGCTCAATCAATCCACCCACCCTGGCCTCCCAGAGTGCTGGGATTATGGGTGTGAGCCACCACTCCTGACCTAAGACTGCTTTTCCTGACAATTCTCTTGAAACCCAGATACTGGTCAACACTGATATGGGTTTTTAAAGCAAGCTCCAATAACTGCCTAAGTCCCTATGATTTTTTTTCCGATTCTGACATTTTCTATATATTTTGAAAATATATGTACATGTTAAATAAATAACAATAACATAATTCACTGTAATATGGTTTGGGATGCCCAGGTAATCCCCAACACTCATGAATCTAGTGTGCAGATGGACATCCAAGAATAGTGCCTCCCTGTCAAATAGCTGGTACCTACCCCAGTCTCTTGCAGAGAAGAAAATTCTTTTCTCCTGACTTTCCCCTTCCTGCTACAGGTCACACCACTCCCTGAAACTGCTATTGTATATGCCCCTGAAGCAACTTTCCAACAGGCAACAGTAAAGGCAGGCAATGCTTCTGTTAACAGAAGTGGTATCTTCATCACCTTCAACATCATCCTCACTCCCATCATGACCATTACACATCACAGCAGCCCCCATTATATAAAGTGCTTACAGGAGTCCAAGCACTGTTCTAGGCCTCACAACAACCCTTTAAAATAGGCATTGTTATCTTTGCTTTGCAAATGAAAAAAAACTGAGTCTCTGAGAAACTGACAAGGGAGTGAGAGGAAATAAAACACAAAGCTCACTGACTATTCTTATGTGCTCCCTACTACTACCCTGGACAAGTAAATTTCTTTAATTGAGTCCTATGTCTATATTTTATCTTATTCTCTCTTTTTGGAAACTCACTTCTGGTCCTCATTTGTTCCCATCACAAGAAAAATTTCTTAGGAGAATTGATATGACCTCAAGTGTTCCTTTGAACAAATCAGGTGTTTCGGCTTACTGCGTATTATGCATGCGGCCACTGTCTTTCCTTTTGTACTACAACTATAAAAAAGAGAATAGCACATAAGAAAAGAGAAGAAAAAAATGTCAGAATAACTTAATGAACTGTTCACCTAATTTAAGAATAGGTTTAAAAAAATGTTTTAATACTACTTAATCCTCGTGTGATTCTCACCACAACCTACAAAGCAGGTATCATTAGCCCCATTCCATAGAAGCAGCTCAAAAAGGTTAGACAACCAGTGCAAGCACAGCCAATAAGCAATAGAATCAAAATTTAAAACCCAGTTTTTTCTACAAATCAGAAAGCAAATGACAATCCGATTAAAAAGACAAACGGGGACCGGGTGGAGTGGCTCATGCCTGCAATCCCAGCACTTTGGGAGGGTGAGACAGGCGGATCACCTGAGGTCAGGAGTTTGAGACCAACCTGGCTAACATGGTGAAACCCAGTCTGTACTAAAAATACAAAATTAGCCAGGCATGGTGGCAGGTGCCTGTAATCCCAGCTACTAGGGAGGCTAAGGCAGGAGAATCAGCCAGGAGGCAAAGGTTGCAGTAAGCCGAGATTGCGCCATTGCACTCCAGCCTGGGCAACAAGAGTGAAACTCCATCTCAAAAAAAAACAAAAACAAAAAACGGACAAATGGAAAAAGACTTGAATAAAAACTTCATGAAAGAGGATATCCAAATAGACAATGAGCATTTGAAAAAGTGTTCAGTATCATTCTACATCAGAAAAATGCAAATTAAGATCACAATGAGATACCACTGCACATCCACCAAGATATGCAAAAATTTAAAAGACTCATAATACCAAATGTTGGTGAGGATGAGAAGCAACTGGAACTCTTACACGGTGTAGGTGTGAGTGCAAATTGGTATAACTACTTTGGAAACTATTTGGCAATATTTATTACAGCAGAACATATGACGACACTGTAATCCAGCAATTCTACTCCTAGAATTGTGCACATATGTCCATTGTATAAGAATGCTCACAACAGTAGCTAAAAACTGGAAACAAATCAACAGAAGAATGGGTAAGCAGATCATGGTATATTCATACAATCAAAGACTACACAGCAATTAAAAAAATCAAACTACTGCTACATTCAAACTACATGGATGAATCTCAGAGAGTAATGTTAGCAAACAAAGTTACAGCAGAAGAATACATACTTTATCATTCCATTTATATGAAATTCAAAGACAGGCAAAAATAATCCAGGGTGATAGCATCAGAATCGTGGTTACTTTTGGGAAGGAAGGGAAGCGTTCAATAAGAGGAGACACAAGGGAGCTGCTGAAAACCTCAGTGTTCAAAATATTGACCTGGGAAATGGTTATATGGATGAGTGTGCGTGGTGCATGTGTGTGCGTAAAAATTTACCAAACCATGCAGTTAAGATTTTTATAACTTGCTATATTTATTTCATCTCTATCTCTCTCTCTCTCTTTTTTTTGTTTTTTTTTTGAGATGGAGTCTTGCTCTGTCACCCACGCTGGAATGCAGTGGCCTGATGTTGACTCACTGCAACCTCTGCCTCCCAGGTTCAAGCAGTTCTCCTGCCTCAGCCTCCCAACTAGCTGGGACTACAGGTACGTGCCACCATGCCCAATTAATTTTTTGTATTTTTAGGAGAGATGGGGTTTTACCATGTTGGTCAGGCTTGTCTTGAACTCCCGACCTCAAGCAATCCACCTGCCTCAGCCTCCCAAAGTGCTAGGATTACAGGTACGAGCCACCGGGTTTTTTTTGTTTTTTGTTTTTGTTTTTTTTTGAGAAAAGGTCTGGCTCTGTTGCCCACCCTGAAGTGCAGTGGCATGCTCATAGTTCACTGCAGCCTCGACCTCCTAGACTCAGGTGATCCTCCCACCTCAGCCTATTGAATTGCTAGAACTGCAGGTGTGCACCACCATACCTGGGTAATTTTTTGTAGAGATGGGGTCTCCCAATGTTGCCCAGGCTGGTCTCAAACTCCTGGGCTCAAATGATCTGCTCATCTTGGCTTCCCAAAGTGTTGGGATTATAGGCTTGAGCCATCACGCCCTGCTTCCTTCAGTTTTTTTAAAGGGTCTCTGTTAGAACCCGCATATGACTAGCACAAGCAATTGTTCACAATCGTTGCATTCTACTGCCAGAATCTGGAATAAGAGAAAGAAACTTTGATGTGCCCGGACAGGCCAGACCCTTAAGTATATAATACAAATTCAGAACAAAACAGCAATTATTATATCAACAACATTTTTTTTTTACCTACTCCATGTTCCTTAGATATCTAACTGTTTCTTGATTTATAAATGATCCACTCAACAGTAAGCTAAGAAGTTACAAAATTCCCCTACAGCATCCTTGACTCAAGTGGATTGGAATGGGGTATCTAATTCTGAAGCAATGCAAGACACTGAATGCCCACCTTTCAATAGCTCGCCTCTGGGAGAACTAGAATTGAACATCAAACAAAAAAGTTAATGAAACCTGTATTAGCCACAAACTTCTATCCACTGGGGAAAAAGCCATCTAGATTCCCAGAATTAGCTAGGGTCAGGCAGGCAACACTGATAGAATTCGAACAGAATTTCAGTCCACCTGATGATTTCACATGATGTCTTATTTCCAAGTCATATTATACATTTAAAGAACACTTTACCTACAACTCAGGCAGCTATTTTTTTTCAAAATTCCACTGAAACAGATATATCTTTTTTTTTCCCAAGTCACTAATTAAGTGAACTTGAGACTGTGTAAAGCCATTTCGAGATGGAAATAAGGAATATGTATCCCTCAAGTCAATTGATGAAATCTAAGAATACAGAAACTGCAACTCCAATAATTCTATAAGGTCTGTTTGTAATCTTATCCTATGAGACGGGAAAGGAGAAAAACGTCAGGTTCATTTAGGTACAAATATAGTATATAGTATATATACAGTATATATATAGCATATATATATACTGTATATAGTATATATAGTATATATAGGTATATATAGTATATAGTATATATACAGTAGATAGTATATACTATATAGTACATATACACTATATAGTAGATAGTAATATAGTAGATAGTATATACTATATAGTATATAGACACTATATAGTAGATAGTATATATAGTAGATAGTATATACTATATAGTATATAGACACTATATAGTAGATAGTATATATACTATATACATATATACATACATATAGTGTGTATATAGTATATATACTATATACATATATACATACATATAGTGTATAGTATATGTACTATATACATATATAATATATAGTATATTATATACGTATATAATATATAGTATAAATAGTATATAGTATATATACAGTATTCCATCTATGCTGTATATACACATATGGTATATATGTGTGTATACACACGTGTAGTACTATATACTATAGTATATACTATATATACTATATACATATATAGTATATATACTATAAATAGTATAGTATACTATGTGTATATACTATATGTACATATATGTACACTATATACTATACATATACTATATAGAGTATACTATATACAGTATATATACATATATACAGAACACTGTATACTGTATATACATATATAGTATGTATGTATACTGTATATACAGTATATATAGTATACTGTTTATACTGTATATATACTATACATACACACATGTATACACACACATATACTATATATGTACATACAGCAGATAGAATACTCTATATATACTATATACTGTATATACACATATATGACACTATATATACTATACTAGTATATACAGTATATATATACTATACTAGTATATACAGTATATATATATACTAGTATTATATATACTATACTATTATAGTATACTATATATAGTGTCATACATGTGTATATACAGTATATAGTATATGTTTATATACTGTATGTGTATACATACATAGTATATATACACATATATAGTCGGAGGAAAGAAACAGTGGTGGTTATTAGTGGGGGTTCTTGTAACCAACCTGACTGAGCTGCAGTCCTATTCGATAATTGTAAGCCAAGCCACTTAACTTTATTAGCCTCAGTTTCCTCATCAGTGAAGATACTAATAGTAATTACTTCCTTTATAAGATTTCTACAAGTATTCAATAGGAAACTATAATGAAAACACTTAGCATAAACTTGGTATTCTGTAAGTGCTAGATTCTTGTTTTAATATGTGCACAATATCTTTCAGGCTAGTCTCTCTATACTTTAATGAACACGATCTATCAACATAGTAACAAAATCTCAATTCTAGACTAAAAACACTGATATAAGTAAGGGGGAAGAGAGACAAAAACATAACATTCACATATAATCCCCTTTCTCCCAAACTATAATTGTTTGATTATTTTTTATTTTTTGGTATAGGTTGATTTTCCTTTTATAGAAAATATCAAATTTACAGAACAGTGCAAGAATAAGAATAGTACAAATAACACCATACACACTTTACTCAGGCTTGCTGGTTACTAACGTTTTAACCTACCAGCTTGTCATTTGTCCTCTCTCTCCCTCCTCCCACACATAATATATTTGTAACCATTTTTAATGTTTTGTAGCCATTTGAGCATAAGTTGCATCATTCACCATGGCCATTTACCCCTAAATACATTAGCATGTATTTCCTAAAAATAATGATGTGTTATTGGTTAATTTTAAATGCAATAAAAAAATATGTCATTGATCATTTTAAAAGTCTACTTTATTCATATTGTAGTGAAAATAACACAATTGACGTTTTCTTGTTTAAATTTTGGGCAGCTCATTCCCCAACACAAACTAGGTAGGGCAATCAGAACACAATTGGTGAAATTTCCTTACTTGGACCACAGAAGAAATACACACAATCCACTATAGAAGCCAGAAATTTTACTTACGTTTATTGAACACATTTGATACAAGGAAATTTTTTAAAATATATTATTTCTCATTCTCTTGACTCAAATGATTCTTGGGAAACTAAAATATCCTTTCCTCAAAATAAATAATACATGGTAAGGATACTGTGAAAACTTTCATGTGCCTTCATAAATCGTCATGGAAATTGCTTTATAATTGCAACAAATCTTGATGGAAAATGTCAGCTAAAATTATAAAGCAATTAAATAAATTAACATGACTGCCAAATAGATATATTAGTATCCTACACTCAGCCAAATACTAATCCATATGTTATTAGGAGGAGACTCTTTTTTAAAATTTAATATGTTAATTTTTAAAAATGGTCTTTAAGGTGATTGCAGGCAGAAAAATAAACCAAGAGCTTGGACTGTGGAGGTGGTTAGAACTAGGTTTGAATCTGAGTTCCATCATTATTTAACTGTGCCTCCCTGGAGATGCCACTACCTAAGCTCTCCACACCTCAAATGCTGCACTCATACTACAGAATACAGAATACAGGACTGATAACACTATGCCCTACAGGGTTCAGAGATGGCTAACACAGCTTGTAAATCACTTAGCACAGTGCCTGGTGCATACAGTAAGTGCTCAATTAATGACAGATGTTATTATTAAGTGGTGAGGTCTGATCTAACATGTTTTCACAAGAAGATTATAAATTACCACAACTCTAATTAAATTTAATCTAAAACTCCCATGGCTTTCCCTTTTCTACATCCCTGAGAACCTTACAATAAAGAACACCAGCCAAACCATGTTTATTTGAATCTATTAACAGACACATATAAATCAAGTCCAGTGTTATGAGCTTTTACGTTTGTAATTTTTTTCCCATTTTTTCTCCAATAGGACTCTATCCACTCAGCAACTATACAATGGCAATTAGGGTTAACAACGTATAATAAGAAATACAAAGAAACAGAACATTGGGGAATTAGCTGATGCTGGGAAAAGGCAAAAAATGTGCTGTTTCAAGCATGCCTATTATTGGCTAAATCATCCAATTATTAATCTTCACTATATTCTTGCCTGGCATCTAGTGTTGGGTTGTTACTCAACAAATGCCGGAAAGTCAGTTTTTTAAAACTTAGCTTGTTTAAAGAAAAAAAAGAATCTTCATATAAATAAGGCCTCAAAGCCTAAAGAGAAACTGAAAAGAGTGTTTGGGAAGTCATGCTAGAAAGGGAAGGGAAAGGGGTAAGGAAGAAGGATCAGTCTTAACAGAGGGCCTACAAAGTATCAAGCTCATGGCTGGGTGCGTCCATACTTCTTCTAAACATCAGTAAAGATAATGAGGAAACTGAGTCACAGGAAGCATGAGTAACCTGCCCAAGCCAACAAAACTGGTAAGTGGTAGAACCTGCCAGCCTCTCAGGTCCACCACACCTGAAAGCCCATCACATCTGAATGTTCTAGACTCAACAAGACAAGCGCTAATGACACACAGGGGCAGGGCATGAGTCCAAGTGTACTATGCTGAATGGGCCCTGAAAGGTGGCCTGAAGGTGCTGGAAGGGCCTTTCCAGTGGTTCTCTTTTCCATTACATACGCCATTGTGCTAAAGTAAACTAATAGTACAAATGGCTGTAAAATGCAGTGGTTTAAGATAATAACTTTGGGGTCTATCAGACTGAAATCAAACTCAGCTCTGTAAGTGTATGCACTTGAGCCTCTATAAATCTAATTTTCTTCATTGGAAAATGGATATAATAATAGCTTATACTTCAAAAGATTAAGAGGATAAAAGGAAATAATGTAAGTAATGTGTTTAACAGAGTTCCTGACACATTGGGCATACTCAATAAACACAACTTGGTTTTTTTAAAAAAAGGTATCAATTTTTAAATTAGAAAGCATGGTATCAGATAAGTTACTCAGCCTCTCTGCTCCCCCTTTACCTCATATGTAATGACAGTAATAACTACCACTAGCATCATGGTACAACTAACCAAACAATATTTGTAAAGTACGTAGGCTCTTTACTGACAAAGAGTGATGAATGCCAGCTGCCCTGTCTAGTGCAGAATTTAGAATTTCAGAGCCGATCTAAAAGCTTTAAAAAAAATGGCTCTAGATAAGCTGTAAGGAGAAGGACTGATAAAATACATAAGATCAAAAACAGAAATAAAAAAGACCCAGGCATGGTGGCATGTGTCTGTAGTCCCAGCTACTCTGGAGGCTGAGGTGGGAGGATCACTTGAGCCCAGGAGTTGGATGCTGCACTGAGCTATGATCATGCCACTGTACCCCAGCCTGGGAGACAGAGTGAGACTGTGTCTCCAAAAAAAAAAAAAGAAAGAAAGAAAGAAGGAAAGAGAAAAACCAAGCAAGAAAAAGGTAAGTAAGGTGGAGTATCAATAGAAGTAACTGACATGGACTAGCATAAACAAAGCCTTGTAATAAATGGCATAATCCACCCATCACAATGTCAGTTTTATTGCTGACAAAAGCTACAATGGAGAAAATGGCTTTAGATCTTTGTTAACAAGGGGACTGTTAATAAATCACCCCCAAAATTACACTTACCAAACCCATTCCCCAGCAAATCTCAAAACCACTGTCTTCCCCGTGAGACCCACCCAAAGATTTCCAGCAGGGATGGACAGTGAATGCACGCTTCCCTGGGATCAGACAGAGTCCCCAAGAGAAGAGGAATTGTCACGGTCAGGAATGTCCAGGTCCTTCTCATAAACTCACTAACAGGAAAACTCACTTCTCCCCTAGCAAGAGGTAAATATAGATTCCACACTTCAATGCTCCTGAAGGGGCACTGTAGAAATGCAAAGTGGTTTTCTGCTGAGTTGTCACAAATATGGGGGATGCTGCTGGCATTTATGAGGAGGGTTCCAGGGATGCTCCAAGTTCCTCAATGAATAAAACTCCAGAATAACAAAGAACCTTCCCGCTTCCCTCACCACCTTCCAGTGCTCCATCGGAGAGTCCCATGGATAAAAATGTGTTTACACTTATCTGAGCCCATACTCTAAGCTCCAAATCACATCTAAACAAAAAGTATTGTTATCTAATCCCATGATTTTTTAATTTGGCACAAAACTCCTTGCCTGGACTATTACCTTACTTCGCGAAACATAAATCATAGCTCACCTTATACATGGTGAAATAGGAAACCACGTACAAGCAGTGCAGTGATATCCTTGACACAGTAACGCCCTTGACATGGGCAATCTTGTGTTTAAAGTGATTTCTATGTACACAGTTTGTGCTAAACATTATGAGGAGTACAAAAACAAATCAAAAGCCTAAGAATTCGTTGCTAGCCATGAAAGTCCTCTGTTGGAACATCCTCTTACACAGGATAATTTGGACAGAACCACATTTAAAGTCACAAATATATGATGGACAAGGGAACCTCATACCACAATAAGAAACATTCACTTCTTTGTTCTAATGCTTGTCTTCTTAAAGGAAGCCCACTAGCAAACCGATGCATAGCAAATACGTTTCAATGGAGAAGGACAGGTGTAAGCAGGCAAGGGGTGGGTCAGTAGGTGGGAGGAGTCCCCGTATCACAGACAAGCCAAGGGCACATGGGAAAATACAGTCATGATGGGTAGAAGAGAAGGGGAGAAAAAGAGTAGAAAGCTGATCAAGATAAATGTTGTTTACATTATACGCAACAAACATCTGTGGTTAAATAGAAAAGAGATAGAGTCGAAGCGTTCAGATCCTTAAGAGTTGTACTTTAGATGAAGCCAAAGTTAGAGATGACATGATAGAGAAAGAGAAAGGGATAGAGAGAGATATCATGACAGAGGATCCGGTACACAGTAGGTACCCAAAAGCTGGAGAGCTATTGCTATTGTTACTAGTCATAGTTTTGCCACAGGCTAGGCTTTGTAAAGGCTAAAGCAATCCTTTTAGACAGCCCTTAGTTTAGATAGAGGACAAGGGCAGAGAAACAGCAATAGAGAGAAAGTTTCCAGTGACCTTTATCTCTTTATCTGATCAGTCCTATGATGCTTGCAGAACTCTCAAGTTCATGAGTTATGACCGGAAGCATTCCACCAGTGTCCAACACAACCTGAACACAGGTATGCACATTCCAGGAGACAAACTATTTTCCAACATCCAGTTCTTTATCCTGGACACTTGCTGACAAATAGGTCTAGTTCATGTTATCAGCTCTAATTGTCAAAGATCACAGGAAAAGTGGTTGATTTTAGGCAAGCCATCCTGGAAACAACTATGTTTAAGAGAAAACTGTAAGTTCAAATAGAACTAATGGTAATTTATGGTCCCATTTAAAATAATAGGCAATGATAGCAGATGCTAAAATGCCCTTTTGAATATGGCTATCTTATAAAGACCAGTATCACCTATGTTTACCACATCAAATTTAAATTGCCTTGTAGATCAAACACATGTAATCCCTCCGTAAAGTCCTTTAAGTCAATGATCAATACCTCTTAGACTGGTTACAATGGTCTCAGTATTGGGAAGAGCCTTGATGAACAAAGTGTTAAGCTGCAGAACAAAACTGACTTATCCTTTCCTCTTTTAGGTGACCTTTGCTTGAAAAGAAAGATGACAGTTGAGTCCAGAAAAGTGAGGAGGAATGGGAGGGGCATTGTACAGCATTCCAGAGAACCAGAACTACTGGATGAGTTGTATCTCGTTTTGACAGCAGCAGTATAGTAAATGACAAGCCCTGTCAGGTAATGCATTTATCTTCATGGGAAAAGCGGCCATTCCAAAGCAAGAATCTCAGATGTTGTCACATCAGCTAGGACAAGAAGTCATAAAACAAGAAGGCTATCAATGCAGGAGGTACGGTGATATCTAGACTACAATTAAGAGGAGCTGTGAACGGGCACTCCAGCTCCAAGCTCATGGGAGCTTTGACATTTTTCTTGTGTGCTTCGAGTACCAGCCAAGTAATTAGTGAAGTCCTTATCAGTCATCTATGACCCTTTTTGGGGCTCAAGACTCTGACCTTCCTTATATTCTGAAAGCGTTATGGTCAAAGCAATTCTGCTGTTTTTCTCAAATGTTAAGTAAGGAAGAAAAAAATAAAAGAAGAAAAAGAAAGAATATCTTTTTCCATTTCTTCATTTGTTCATGCGTTCAACAAATACTTATCCTATAGTCCAGGCACTAAGCTAGGAGTGGCCTGGTCACTCAGTTAGATACGCTGCCTGACTCATGAAAGTTAGAATCTAATTAGGACAGGCAGGCATGCAGCAGGCACTACAATCAGGCACAAAACAGGCATGAAGGAGGTCACGGAGTGCAGCTTGGGGAGTAGGGGGAGAGGGCAACAGGCCCAATCTGCAGAAGCAACGGAGGACTTCGTGGAGGAAGTGGCATCTGGCTAAAACTTAAAAAGAAGACTGTGAACTGGTCAGATAGATAGGCAGCGAAATAGGAAAAAATAATATGTACTCATTTATAAGAAGACACAAAGTGTGTTTGGAATATGAAGTTTGTAGGGTTGAAGCGCAGAGTGGGAGGGGTTGGGAATGTGACCAAAACTGGAGGAGGAGAAAGAGAAATATTAGCCAGATGGTTCTGAGGAATGAGAGAAGTAGGCATGTTTACAAGCATTGCAAAGGTTTTCCATAGGTACACAAAGAAAAGATCTAATGGAAAATAAGATAAACTTAGATATGCTAAGAAAATCATGTAATGATTTTTTTGAATCTGAATAATCATTATTAAAATTATATTGTACAACCAGTGAATTACTTGAACATCAGAGAGAATATACTTATTTTTAAGGTATTGTGCCTTCCATTGCTTCCAAACCCACCAGATAAAACGTCATTATTTTAAGCAACTAGAGCTCTAAATTCAGCCATCAGAAACTTTTTTTTTTCTTTTACTCTCAATAGTCTGTTTGTATATTACTCTAATCAGGCTATTACTAATAACACCCAACTTGAGAGTTACAAAGAATTGGTTTAACCCTGACAATGCTACTTGCTGTGTGACCTTAAGCAAACTATTAACCTCTCTTGAGCCTCTGTTTCCTTTAATAAGACTCACCTTATAGGATTGCTATGTGTATCTGATAAGACAGTGGTTGAGTCAGTACTACTATTTCCATTTTACTGAAGGGTCAACGAGATTCAGAGAGGTTATGTGACTTGTGCCAGGCCACACAGCCAGCAGAGTAGCCCTCAGACTTCACAACAGGCCCCTGAACTCATTCTGCATCTGCATCTCTTTTCTGTTGGGGTTTTTCTAGTGGTATTTTGAATGGTAAATATAATTAAATTTCAACTAACATGCCCTTTCTTCTTACTGTAGAAATAATAAAAGTTCTTGAATAAAGGGAAGATAAAAGGGGAGTGGAGAATAATAATAACTGTAACAAAAATAGCACTGGATGAACACTTTAAACAGGTAAGTTGTATGGTATGTGAATTATATTTCAACAACGCCGTTACAAATTTTAAAAAGTAAAATAGCAGCAGATGAGGAATGAGTAATATGGCATTTCAAATGGTACAATTTTGAGAAAGTTCAATTTTGTTGCTTCATCTTTTGGCCAGTAAAACAGGGGTGCTATTACCTGCATTTCCTTTGCCAGAGAATTAAGATAAACTGAGCCGTAAGTGGTAAAGTGTGCTATGATGCACATACAGCTCCACTACATTATGGCAATGCTAAAAATAACCTGAGAATGAAGGAGCTTTATTTCTTCATTTCCAATGACCCATGAGCCTCCTAAAATGCACAGGGAAAGATGTCTACCCCCACCACAAGCACCTGTTCATGAGGTCACCTCTGTTCAAAATACCGAAGTCAATGAAATGTCAGTGGCAGGAAGTTCTGGAATATACAGATTACACGAGCCCATTTCCCTGCAGCACAGTTACATCATCATCAAGAGAATGCATTCCCCAAATCCACGGCTTCCTAATCCATTAGCACAACAGGCTGGTGGAGAGCTTGGCTTTCTCAGTCACATGGGCCATAGAATCAAAATAAACACAAATGTGGCCAGAGTAACATAAGTCGAAAGAATCCCAAGTAAGCCCCAGTCTACTCATGTTCAAAGGCACACACGCTCCACCAGACTCCAAAACAGACCTCTTCTGAATTTCCTTCCCATTTTATGAAGAAAGTGTAAAATGAATTGTTACCTGTTTTCTCTTTTAGTAGGAACACCATTTCTGCTTTCCAAATTCCTGATTTACTGGTTTCACAGCCATAAAACATCAATGCCAAGGGGCTTTATACCAGCAAAAACAAACATGATTTTTCCACTGTTTTTAAAAGACAGAGTTCGTTTTTGCCCCAATTCCTACATAGTGGTAAGCTTAAAATCAAGCCATTTAGCTCACAGTCAGGTCCAATAAATCAGTGGAAAAAATAAATGGGAGAGCATGCCAAAATGTAACCATGGTAACACCACAGATGCATCAAGAAATGGTGTGCTCATTTGCTTCATCCCCATTTCTTAAATTGGAATCTAAGTAGGGGAAAAATTACACAGAGAACAATCATGATTCTGCAATTACTGATTTCTGCAAAATTGTATTCAACCTGCTGTACTATAACTTCAGAGGCAGCTACAGGGCACCTATGAAAACAGCCCTAGATGACATAAGAGTGAAAAAGACCAGATCTGCCACTTACTGACCCTCCCCGTGACTTTGTTTCTTCATCCGTAAAATGGGTGTTAAAGACCCCCAACTTCAAAGGGTTACTATAGGAGGAATGCCTGACAGTGCAGAAGAAGCAGGGCAATGGTGAACTCAGGAGACTCGAAGCCCTGATCACCTATGGCTTTAATTTTATTGGCTTCCTCATTGCCTCAGTTTCTTGATTTGTAAAAATAGAATGATAATCCCTGCCCTACCTATGTGATTAGCATTAGGAATTAATTATTATTAAGCCAAAATATAAGAAATTACTACGAGGTTATTACTAGGACTACAGTTTATAACTTCAATGCTAAAAGACTAAAAGAACTGAGGACCACAAGTTCACATTAACACATCATCACAACCTCCTCTCCGTCAAATGCAGCTTAGCCACTCCATGGACAGAGGCAACCTTGGGGCCCTGTCCCAAGTTACTTGCAGCAAACCTCTTCTCCTCTCATAGCCTCTGTTTTATTAATGAGTAAAATGGAAAGCCAGGGGCTATTCTAGAATCTGATCTGTGGAGGTTATCATCTAGAACTATAGTCTAAGTCCTTTAAAATCTACAGAATGCCTGAGATTAGTTCTGCTTATTCTTTTACAGAAAGAATTAGCTAATGTTTATCAGAAAACATTAGCACTCTAGCATATCATTTGCAAGTTTTTTTTTTAAAAGAAAACCATTTATAGCAAACAAATCATAGAAATAAACACGATACCTGGAACATTAAATTATTCTTCCTTTCTTTTGCTGGTTCAAAAAATGGTATGTCTAGGAAAATAAAGGACTGGGTGATAGAGAGGAGAAAGGAAAATTCTAAGTAATAAATTCTAAGTAATAAAACCAGAATCATTCTTCCCTTGTATTTTAAAAGAAATTAAACAACCAGGAACACAGTGTGCCACAGTACAGTGATACTTCACTACAACGGAGCTGCGAATTTATCCAACCATAGACAGACAGGCTGCCTTTCTTTAAAGACACTCTGCTTTCAGCATTCCTATGTTCTGTGTCTTGTTTTTTCAGATTTGGTGTAATCTAATGGTTTGGGGGTTTGGATTTTTTATCTGTGGAAATCATTTCTTTGAACAAAATTATACATAAAATCCTGACTTATGAATCTGATGAAGTTGGCCAAAAGGAGAACCCTGGGAAGGAAGACAGAGCCCACTGGGGTATTCCCTTCACTGGGGGTCTCCACAAAGGTCAGTCCGAAGGCCGCTGGCCAGGTCTACTCCATTAATAACAGCAAATGTTAACATTTATGGAGGCTCACAGCACACCATTACCTTAGAAAATGCCTTCTGTGCCTGATCTCATTGACTCCTCATAGCAGTTCCATGAAGCTAGTATTACTAACACGTCCTTTCCACTAATGTGAAAAGTGGGCCTTACAAAGGGTAGATAATTTGCCCCACATTGCAGAGCCATGACTGAAACCCAGGCACACCACGACACTGTTATTGAATTATGATTTGCTTGAGTTAAGGAGTCACTCAGTAGGCCAACCACCAGGTGTTCCAGAACCAGTTGTTGAGATCTCCTTTCTCCCCTGGACTTTTCACACACACACACACACACACACAGCAGTGAGATGCCAAAGTCCAACTACTTACAAGGCACAGCATGGCGGTAAAGGTTATCCCTTATGGTCTGCTGGAGCTCATGATCAGGAGACCCCTTCTGGAATCGCTGATTGAGAAAATGTCGCAGGTCCTTGTTCAGCCTTCCTCCTGCAGGAAATACATAAAATAGACATACCACATCAACACAGGGCCTCCTAGAAAAGAAGTAGCCAAGAACTGATTGCAAGAAAGCCACAGGATGCAGTTCTAGCCTGCCACCCCTAGTCATTAGGAGGATGTACTTTAGGTTTTCCTCTGCAGGGGTAAAGTCAAGCCAGAATGTCATAAAGATAAAACAGCACTGGCAATGCATTAATTTAGAGATCCTATCTCACATAATACTAGAAGGCCAAAATATCAAAGTGTTTAATGTAGGCTATTACATTTAAATATGTGCCATAGACACTTGCAGACACTATTACTAGAAGCATAAATTACTGAAACCTTAAAGAAGACAATCCAGCAATAACTGTCAAATCATAAAATGTTCTTTGACCAGGGATTCGAATGGTAGGAATTTACTCTACAGGTATACTTGTAATCTCTTCAAATTTCCATGAATTTACTACAGCTTTTTTTATTTTTTTAATTTTTATTTTTTGAAACGGAGTCTTATTCTGTCACCCAGGCTGGAGTGCGATGGCGCGATCTCAGCTCACGGTAACCTCCGCCTCACAGATTCAAGCGATTCTCCTGCCTCAGCTTCCCGAGTAGCTGCGGTTACAGGCACCCACCACTACACCTAGCTAATTTATATATTTTTAGTAAAGACAGGGCTTCAGAACCATGTAGAACAGGCTGGTCTCAAACTCCCGGCCTCAAGTGATCCGCCCGCCTCGGCCTCCCAAAGTGTTGGGATTACAGGTGTGAGCCACTGCATCTGGCCCTACTATAGCTTTTTTTATGACGGTAAATAAATAAAAACAAAGACCTGGAAACAACCAAAAGGGAGCAATTAAAGCACAATTCATCCATATAACAACTACTTTGCATAAGCTAGATTTTCATGGGTTGACATTGGGAGAAAATGTGTGGAACTGTGCATAATGTCTGATTCCTTTTCTGTAAAAATGAATTTGGAAAAGGAGAGACTGGGTAATACGAGGAATCATATGAAAGTTTTAACAACAGTTTCATGTACAAAAAAGGACTTGAGCTGGGGATAAATAAGTAGACTTCACTCTTCATCACACAGACAGAGAGAGAGACATAGACATAGACATCTCCCTATCCTGTGTTGCTTTTCAAACACTAAATGTATGTTGCTTTTTGGTTGTTGTTGTTGTTGTTATTGTTAAGCATAGTTATCTAAGTGAGTCTGTGTTTATTTCTTTGCAATTCTCTACACTTAAGAGAACAAAAGAAAAGCTAAAAATATTATATTATCACAAAAATGTGTCATAGAAAAGAGATACATTTGAAAAAATCATAATCACAAATTACAGTCTACAGGATCAACAGAAGGCTTGTAGATCAACCTAACTAGCATTCACTCTTAATGGAGAAAGATGCTTCAATGACAGCTAAAAATAACTAGGCTGAGACTGTCTTTCCATTTTTAGACAAGATACAAATTAGGTAAGAGCATTTTTAGCCTTAGAGAAACAATGCAGCAACCCAGGAGTCACGTGAGCTACAAAACTCATGCCTTCAAATGGTAACTTCCCTATGGTCAAAAAGAGTAAATCATGAGGATGACAGTGATGGTTAAGATGATGGTATTTCCTACCTAGGGCAGGAAACTACTGATCTTTACTTTAATATCACATTCAATATAAGATTCCAGCTACAGCTGCTCATTTTGAAATAGATAATAAAACCCAATTTGAGCTATTTTATTTGGTATTCTATCTACTGTTTCAAGTCACCGAAAGGAAAAATACATATATTCAAACCAATCTTAGGTCATTCAATCATTCATCAAGTATTTACTGAATGAAGACACCCACATGCCACATGAAGCCACCCCCCAAAAAAATCAGCACAAGGTTTGAACAGACAGTTCACAATGGAATATATGTGACTATTAAGCATATAAAAAGATGTTAGACATCATTAGTCATTAGAGGAAAAATAATAAAATCACAATGAGATCCCACTAAGTAACTACTTGAATAACAAAAAGTAAAAAGACTGAAAGTATCAAGTGTTGGCAAGGTTGTAGAGAAACAGGAACTCAAATATACTGTTTAGCAGGCATAATGGTTCGTCCTCTTAGGAAAACAATTTGTCAATATCTTAGAAAGTCATACCTTCAATAGCCAAGTGACCCAACAATTCCACCCTTATTTACATGACAGAAATGAAAACAAGTCCACAAAAAAAAAAATCTCGTAGATGAATCTTCACAGCAACTTTACTTACAAATAGCCAAAAATTGGAAACAACCCAAATGTCCATCGAAAGGTGAATGAATAAGCAAACTGTGGTATAATCAAGCACTGGGGTGTTACATAGAAATTAAAAGAAACTACTAATGCATGCATTAATACTGATGAATCTCAAACACAGAATGTTGAGCAAAAGAAGTCAGACACAAAAGATAAAATATTGCATGATTTCATTCATATAGAAAGTTTTGGGATGGACTAAAAAATTTTGGAACGGACTAATTTATAGTGAGAGAAAACAGTTCAGTTGTTACAGAGAGCGGAAGGTAGGCAAAAACTGACTGCAAAGGGCATAAGGGAATAAAATCTATGGATCTATGGGTCTTCCCCATTGGAAATTGAGAAAACAGGGTGAAGGACTTCTACATGACTTCTATACATGGAGGATTCTATACACGGGGCCTCTATATTATTTTTTATAATATCCTGTGAATATATAATATTTTTAACATCAGTTTTTAAAATGGGGAACACAAGGGAAGATTCTGGAGGAGATGCCAATATAATATTTTCTTTTTTTAAGATGGAGTCTCATTCTGTTGCCCAGGCTTGTGTGCAGTGGCACAGTCTCAGCTCACTGCAACCTCTGCCTCCCAGACTCAAGCGATTTTCATGCCTCAGCCTTCCGAGTAGCAGGGATTACAGGCATCTTCCACCACGCGCAGCGAGTTTTCATATTTATAGTAGAGATGGCGTTTTACCATGTTGGCCAGGCTGGTCTCGAACTCCTGCCCTCAAGTGATCTGCCCACCTCGGCGTCCCAAAGTGCTGGGATTACAGGTGTGAGCCACCACTCCTGGCCCCAATATAATATTCTTGATTGAGATTAATAACATTGGTTTATATATTTGTCAAAATTCACAGAACTGTATACATAAAACAAGTATGTTTTATTATATGTAAGCTATACCAATAAAATCGATTTCAAAAGTTTAAAATATATACAGTGATTGGATGATTGGATGAGTACTATGTGTGAGTCAATGTTCAGGTTGCGTAGTTCTCTCTTTAGAGAGTTGAAGTAAAGGAAAAAGAAAGTAAATCTAGGTAGTTAAGCCAGACGTGCCTACTTCTGAATCCTGGCTCAACTGTTTATTAGCTGGTGAGTCTGAGAACAGGGCTTAATCTCTGAACCTTGCTTTCCTCAACTGTAAAAATAGAACACTGATGTAATATTAGCTCTGTCACAAGATTGTTGTGAGGATTAAATGGGATGATACATTCAGACAGTGCCTGGCAAAAAGAAAACACTCAGTGAAAGATGGAAATTATAATTATGATGTTGTTGAATGGACGATTATTGAGGTGAGGGGGCAAAGAAAGAAAATCAGTTCAAACATGAACTCTTACTCTTTTTTAAAAAAATCCATGCAAACCAAATTTATTCTATTGGCTTAGAAATAGCCAGAAACAAAATATAGACCTAAGGAGATCTGGATGAAAGGATATTTCTAGTGTTTCTAGAAGTGAATAAAAATCTACCTGTGCTAAAATAGTGTGGACCTATGTAAACTCATTAATAAACATTTAGTGTGTGGTTAATGTATTCCAGGCATTGTGCTGGGGCTGAAGTTCAGGAAATGAAATCAACTAGTAAGTCACTGATATGTGATCTCTCTACCTGCTAACTCCAGCTTGAGGTATAAGGCACTCTAGAAATTGAGTAAAAAAATAATGTTTACCAGCAAAATTCCCATTGCCTGCAATGTAGGGTTTTAAATTTCTCTTAGGTGACAAGAGTTCTTGACATTAAAAAGACACTAACATTTATCATTTGAGCCACGGCAAAGACGTCTATGATATCCAAAATGCTTAAATCAAAAGCAACATTCCAAAGGAGTTTTCAGATACAGTAACTTTTTATCACATATATAACAAAGATTTGTACATCCTTATGGATCATATGTGGTAACTATCAAGATAAACCAGGGACATATAGATTGGAAACCATTTTACTTTTTTTATTTTTTTGGAGACAGAGTCTTACCCTATCACCCAGGCTGGAGTGCATTGGTGTGATCATGGCTCACAGTAGCCTTGACCTTTTAGGCTCAAGCAGTCCTCCAGCCTCAGCCTGCCAAGTAGCTGGGACTACAGGCATGCACCATTATGTTCAGCTATTTTTTAAATTTTTGTAGATACAGGTTCTCACTATGTTGCCTAGGCTGGTCTTGAACTCCTGGGTTCAAGCAATCCTCCTGTCTCAGCCTACCAAAGTGCTGGGATTACAAGTGTGAGCCACCATGCCCCACCTGGAAGGCATTCTTAAGTATAAGCTCTTGGTTTACACCTAAGCTTATATTCAAACTAGCCAAGGTAGCTAGGGTTTATGGTCATCAAACTAAAACTCCCCTCTACTGCAGATGTGCAAAAAGACAGAGTTTACTATGCTGCCAGTTAACATTTACTCTGAGTTCCATGACATTTGGACATGAAAAGTCTCAACCTTCACATTCTATTAAAAATACTGTACATTTTGGCATCTAATCTCAAATTAATTGCCAATTATTCAAGAGACATGTCTATAAATTGTCTACTAATTGTCAAGGGCAGTGAGCCAATAAAATAAGTTGGAAGACAGTTTGTCATAGCATCTTCACTTTCTTTGAAATTCAAGATTTATTTTGTAAATAGAAAAGAGAACATAGGTCAGAAACACAGTCATACACTGTATAGCAAAGTTCCGGTCAAAGCCATACTTACCATGGGTCCAAAATTACAACGCCGTATTTTTTCTGTACCTTCTCTATGTTTGCATATGTTTAGATACACAAATACTTACCATTGTGTTACAAATGCCTACAGTATTCAGGAAAGTAACATACTGTGCAGATTGTAGCCCAAGAGCAACGGGCTATACCATACAGCCTAGGTGTTTAGTAGGCCATACCAACTAGGTTTATGTAAGTGCACTCTATGATGTGTGCATGACTAAATCACCTAAGGCCACATTTCTTAGAATGTATTCCAGTCATTATGCAACAACCATGACTATATATAGAACTTTTTCCAAGAAAGGGGTTCAGAGTTTATTCTAAGACAATTTTATATTTTAACTGAGGAAAATGGGGCTTAGATGCTCTCTTGATTTGCCGTTATTTTATATTTCTGTATCTTTTTTTTTTTTTTTTTTTTTTTTTTTTTTTTTTTTTTTTGAGATGGAGTCTTGCTCTGTCCTCCAGGCTGGAGTTCAGTGACGCGATCTTGGCTCACTGCAAGTTCCGCCTCCCGGGTTCACGCCATCCTCCTGCCTCAGCCTCCCGAGCAGCTGGGACTACAGGTGACCACCACCATGCCCAGCTAATTTTTGTATTTTTAGTAGAGATGGGGTTTCACCGTGCTAGCCAGGTTGGTCTCGATCTCCTGACCTTGTGATCTGCCCACCTTGGCCTCCTGAAGTGCTAGGATTACAGGCTTGAGCCACTGAGCCCAGCTATATTTCTGTATCTTATCTATATATCTGGAATTCTGTGTCTTCTAAATTTACAGCAATGTAACTCTGCTTTTCTCACCCACATGAGTTTACAGAATGTTAAGCATGTTTGATGGATGTAGTTTTTCTTATTTTAAATGTTGTATAATATTCAATATTAAAATAAACCACAATTTATTTATCCTTCATAGAAAATTAAGCTATTTCCAATATAAACAATGCTGCTATAAATGTCATTGTAATGCCTCCCTCCCCTAATTTTTTTTTAGCAAATGTGTGGGGTTTTTCCCTCTAGATTATCTAAACCTGAAAATGGACATAGATATCTTTGATTTATCTTAACATTTCTGAATTCATCCCCAAAATGGTGGTACCAATTTGCCTTTCCATAAATAGTTTTGGTGGTCCTGTTTTCCCACACTTAGGCCAACATTGGCTATTGTCACTATTTTTCAGGTCCCCAAGACCACTCCTGATTGGATGATTCACTAGGAAGATTCGGAGGACTCGTTATATAGTTGTACTCATGGCTATGGTTTATTCCAGCAAAAAGATACAAAGTAAAATCAGCAAAGGAAAAAGTCTCACAGAACAAAGTCCAGAGAAAATCGGGTGTAAGTTTCCAAGTGTCATCTCCAAATGGCATTACACAGGACACACACACATTCCCCAAAGAACCCATATGAAAAGCTGCCCACCGGAGAAGCTCCTTAGACACCCAGGGCCCGGGAGTTGGTCATGTAAGCAGCCTTTGCCTGGCACAAAATAAATCTCCAGACTCTCGGGGAAAAAAAGCATAAATGATAGCATTTGGGCATGCAGTCTAGACATAGTGAGCCACTCTTACCAGTTATCAGAATAGAAGAAATTCCCTGAAATGCAAGTTCCCAGATGCCAGCCAAGGGCCACCTTAGCATTCCATCCAGCTGCCACTAACTCTTTTCTGCACATTCCAACTTTATAAATGTTTCCCAATCTACTAAAGATAAAATGATATCTTGGTGTTATATTAATTTATAATTACTGATTACAACTGAGAGTGAGCATTCTATTATAGTTTTTAAATTGTCTTTTATGTTTTCCTTTCTGTGACTTGCCTGTTCACATTTCTTATACGTTTTCCTATTAGGTTATCTAGTTATTCTTGATAAAAAGATATTCTTATATATTCTAGATAGGGTTCCTTTAGCACTTATTTATGGTATAAATTTTTCTTGCCATTATTTAAACATGAAATGATCCCCTAATATAACTAAGTTGTGTCGTGTCTCTTTTTCTGTTACATACCAACTCTTACCAGAAGCATCTTTTCAAGGTGATGGATGATGAGGGGACCCTGCTTGGACTGATCTCTATCTCCTAGGATAGAGATCTGAAAAGGAATGTTGCTCAGTAGAAAGAATCTTTGTGGTCAAGAAACCAGGTTTCCCAAGAGAACACTTTTGAGTCTTCTTAATGTATCCATCTGTGACCGAGAGGGCAGAATACAATTCCCTGTGTGTATTCCATGTGCTCCACAGCTACATCCACATCCAGAAGGTCAAAGAATGGTATTTCATTACAATTAGAATTGACACTTTAATACAGTTCAAATTTTCAATGCTAAGGAGAACCTGCATAAGGATTTTGAACTAATCACACTTTCAGGTGATTCTGCTTTAGCACACAATTTCTTCAAAAAAATGATTATAGTTGTAGGAAAAGTCCATTTATTAGGACAACAACAAATGGTATGTACTGCAGTGGTGCTATTACAGCAAAAAAAAAAAAAATCCATCAGTTCAGCACTTCAGTTTTATAAAGAATAGGATTTTTTAAACACAAAATTATAAATTGAAAAACAAATTAGCTTGTTTTATAGTCACTCAAACTTACAATCCAAAATTCATTTAAGTGAGCTTTATCTGAAAAGGATGTTTGCTACTTGCTTTTTCTAATATATTTTTCTATATTTTTTTCTTATTGTAAAAGCAATATAAATCACTGGAGAGTTACCCTTTAATGGGTGCGGAGTTTCACTTGTGGATGCTGAAAAAGTTCTAGAAATGGATGGCGGTGACGGATGCACAACAATATAAATGTACTTAATGCTACAGAACCACATACTTAAGAAAGGGAAAAATGGTCAACTTTATGTTATATATATTTAACCACAATGAAAAAGCAATATGAATTAATCACAAGATTTTAAAAATACACAAACGTACAACAAACAAAGTTAAAATCACCTGTGACTTCATTTACAGCACAATTAATATTTTGGTACAGTGTCCTCTGTATGCCTATGTACCTATAAACATACATGCACACTTATAATACACTTAAACATTTGGGGAGTTTCATTCACTAATTCAACATGTATTTATTAAGTGCCTAGAGCTAAACACCCTGTGAGCCCTGAGGATGCAACAAGGACAATACAGAGCCCCTGAGCAGCAGGGTATATGCCTGCTTTAGGAAGGACGAACAGACATGACCTCCAGGCAGAGACAATTGTTAAGGTGAGAACTAAAGGAGGATGAGAGGCTAGCTAGGTCTGCAAAGTGTTGGGGAAAGACTATTCCAGGCAGAGTGAATGGCATATGCAAAAGTTTCGAAGGAGGAAAGAGGTTGGTATGCTAGAGAAACAGCATGAAGCTCAGACAGAGGGTGGCTCAGGTTGAGGTTAAAAAGAGAAGCACTAGTGGATAATGAAAAATGTGATATCTATACACCATGGAATACTACTCAGCCATAAAAAGGAACAAAATAATGTCTTTTGCAGCAACCTAGATGAAGCTGGAGGCCATTATTCTAAGTGAAGCAATGGAAAACCAAATACCATATGTTCTCACTTATAAGTGGAAGCTAAGCTATGAGGACAAAAAGACATACAGAGTGATTTAATGGACTTTGGGGATGTAGGAGGGGAGATTGAGAGGTGGGTGAGGGATAAAAGACTACACACTGGGTGCCGTGTGCACTGCTCAGTGACATGTGCACTCAAATCTCAGAATTCACCACTAAAGAACTCATCCATGTAACCAAAAGCCACCTGTACCCCAAACACTACTGAAATTTTTAAAAAGAGAGAGAGAGAAGCAGTCGCCAGACAATTCTGTGCCTTGCAGGCCATGATAAAGAGCTTGCATTTTATTCTACGTGTGTAACAATGCACTGAGAGGATTTGAGCCATGGAGGTAGAGGACGTGGTCTAAATATCAACGTTTCTTTTGCAGTTGTGTAGTGTGTATGCACACGCAGGGTCATGTGTAGAGGTGGAAGTCAGAAGAAGCCAGTAGAGCTGATGATCACACAAGTCCTGAAGTAGCCTAGACTAAGGGAGTGTCTAGGAAGAAGGACAGGAAGGGGCAGAGAAGAGATGTAATTTAAAACTAGAACTGATACAGTTTGGTGACATGATGGAGGAAGACACCACATGCAATGGAGTCAAAAAGGAATCCAATGTTTGTGCTTAACTGGTAATGAACAGCTTTGAGTGGAATACAGAGATCTATTAGGTATCTTTTAAGTGTAGGATGTGTAGGATCATGCCACATATATGGATTTATATCTATGTTTTCTAACAAATAATTCATGAGCATTTGCAATATTAGTGTACAAAAATATAGTTTTAAGGGCTACGTAGTATTTTATCTCATCAATTCATCACAACCTATTTAACCTATTACCAATTAGTAGGCATAAAAATTGTTTCTACTTTGATTATCCTCCTTGAACAAAATCTATCTGTGTACTTCTGATTATCTTCTTGAGATCTTTGG
Organism: Homo sapiens; assembly: GCF_000001405.40. Classification (NCBI taxonomy): domain Eukaryota; kingdom Metazoa; phylum Chordata; class Mammalia; order Primates; family Hominidae; genus Homo; species Homo sapiens. Next base: position 65,631,568 of record NC_000003.12, read on the forward strand.
AGATATTGAAACAAAAAGCACAAAAAATGTTTAAGGCCCTTGATACAAATTCCCTCCAGAAAGATCATATTAGCTTTCCTTCTTCCAGCTTTATTTTAAATAGCTCCAAAGTAGGTACGTAAACTCATGGCAATATTATGAGTTTCATGTTAATAGACATTTGTGGCCAGATGCGGTGGCTCATGCCTGTAACCCCAGCACTTTGGGAGGCTGAGGCAGGTGGATCACATGAGGTCACATGAGGTCAGCAGTTCGAGACCATCCTGGCCAACATGGTGAAACCCCACCTCTACCAAAAACACAAAAAATTAGACGGGCGTGGTGGCAGGCACCTGTAATCCCAGCTACTTGGGAGACTAAGGCAGGAGAATTGCTTGAACCCAGGAGGCAGAGGTTGCAGTGAGCCAAGATCACACCACTGCACTCCAGCCGGGGCAACAGAATGAGACTCCGTCTCAAAAAAAAAAAAACAGATATTTGCATGTCTTTCTTTAAAACAACTATTATACATAATGCTGTAATAAAAAACTTTAAACATAAAATTTGCTGAAATTTCCTAGAATTACTAGATTGATGAGTATGAATATTATTTTAAAGGTTCTTGATAAATACTCACAAAATGCATTACCTAAAGGTTATGGCAGTTTCTACCAAATCTGGAAGAAATTCAGCATCACTCAACTGACAATTACAGTGTCAAAATGAGACTAATTTTTCCCATTTTAATTATGGTTTTTAAGAATTTTCCACCAATAATTTGAACAGATGTCAACAATGTATTAAAGAGACCACATGATGGTAAAACTGTCCCCTTTCATTTTGAGAAACTGCTTGTTCTAGTAAGAAAATTAATTTGGAGTATGGCTTAGTGAGAAATAATGAATGACTGCCATGATCATATTTATTCAACTAAAAAAACAAAAACTCTCACATCTAAAAAATACACAAATAAAGAACATTCAGTGGATGTGTTCTTTACACAATTACTTCCAACCTCCCTTCTCTAAACATTCAAGCATTGGTCTAGGTCAGGGGTCAGCAAAATATTTCCATAAAAAGCTAAGATAACTATTTTCCAGCCTTGAGAGTGCACATGAACTCTATCCAACTGCTCAATTCTGCTTCTGTAGTGTGAAAGCAGCCATTGACAAGATGTACATGAAGTTGTTTTTCAGTGAAAGTTTATTTACAGAAAGAGGCAGATTTGTCCCTTGGGCCATAGTTTCTAAATCCTGGTCTAGATGTTGGTCATGCCTCTTCAGGTAAGGAATTCTCCTTAAGTAATTGTTGGGGTAGAGTTCAAGTAATACTTGGTGTGGAGGTGGAGGGTGTTCCTTGTCTCCCAGGTTAGTCTATGCCAGTGGTTCTCAAAGTATGGTCCCATGAGACTGGCAGCAGCAGCAATACCCAGAAACTTACATGAAATAAAAATGACTGGTCTCTACCCCAGGACTTGATAGAATTAGAAATTCTAGGGGTGGAGGTTCAGCAATCTGTGTTTTAACAAGCCTTCCAGATGATTCTAATACCTGCTAAAGTTTGTGGACCAATGGTCTCAGCCACATCAAAACGTCCTAATGAAATATGGGGAGCTAGGCTCTATTTCTCACAGCAGGTCCTCATCTCTTGCTAATCTCAAGTGCTGCCACCCCACTGTGCGGCTGACAATAACAGGCACACACCACACATGACTCCAGACACGGGGTACCTCAACACACATGCAGAGATGGAAGCTATTCCCCGAGTGGTACAAAGACTATTGTTCTTTTAGTCATGTTTCTGTAAAAGTTAAAAAATACAAACAAAAAAGAAACGTGTGGTGAGTGTGATGTGAGAGAGAGGCTGCGAGACAGATTTATGTATGCTGATGAAGCTCAAGAAGCTACTATTTACATTTAACTCCCCACATGAGCAAGCATGAAACATTTTGCTAGCACTTCAGGAAATCCACTTTATTATTATTTTCTGCCTGCCTTCTCTGTTCTTTTCTCTTGGTGAATCTTTTTATTATAAATTTCATCCCGCAGTGAGAAAAAATTTGAATTAAGCATGGAAAGAAAAGCAAGCTTAGGTTTAAATGCCATCATCTTGATTTTTTCATTATTTACAGCCTTTGGTGCTTCTTGTATTTATTCCAGTTACACTAAGATAGTGGAATAACATCTGTTCAGAAAAAAAATAACAAAGGATTTATATACAGAAAGCAGAAAGACAATGTTCCCCTATTGGTAAAGTAATATAGCTGATGTGAGCTTATGGCATGCCCTCGTAAACAGCTGCATAGCCTCACCAAAAGCTGAAATCAAGTGTCTCTACATTCAGAATGCTGAGTGGAATCTAAAGATACGGGTGTCTGTGCCCTTTGAGAATATTCTAAATTCTTGAAAAGATACTCTATTAGAATTCTAACTGGACCAATTGGACTCGAGATGACAGTGAACACTGATTAAGTACTTTCAATGAGCCAGATAGCAATATGAAGCAATAACTTTATAATCCTTACTCCCACCCAATGAGATTACTAGTCTCATTTTACAGAAGTATAAACTGAGGCTCAGAAGTTGCCCCATCACCCAGGTAGCAAGCAACAGAGGAGACGGGACTCAAATCCGGGGGAGTATGACTGTCTGTGTTCTTGACCAGAGAGGTCTAGGAAATGTTCACAATCAGAATGATAATAAAGACAAACCAGGAAGCACCAGTATAGAAAATAAAAGCAAAAAACCAACACATATTCTTTCTAAATTCAAGTTCTTGTACTTGCAAAGGTTTTTAAGCCAGTGCCTGATTCTGGGAAGTCTCCCAAAAGCATAGCTGGTGCTGTAGAAATTTGTTGATATGATCAGTGTCCCCACAGAGTGTGTTTCTTTCAGTAGTATATGGTTAAGAGTGCTGAACTTCAAGCGAGGCTTGATTAGTTCAGATCGAGGCCCCAAATTCACCAGCTTGCCTTGGGCATGTTGCTGAACTTCTCTGAGCCTCAGTTCCCTAATCTATCAGGTGGGGATAATAATAGTATCTGCTCAAAAGGGCTGTGCAGCTTCATGAGATCATGCACTAACGCAATATCCAGTATAACACATAGTAAGTGTGCAGTAAATTGTTACTTTTACCAAGGCTCATAACAATGCAGTGTGTAAGCTTGATTAGATCTGGAATTTAAAAAAATAAGAACAACAGAGACGTTTATGGCTCAGCTAAGGGAATGTTGACTATGAACTCAAAGTTCGATGATGTTACTGAACGAATGCTGATAAGTGACAACTGCATCATGGCTTGTAGGAAAATGTCATCATTTTGTGGTAATTTTTGGTTATTTGGGGATGAGTTATCATGATATCTGTACCCTAAACTCAGATAACCTAGCAAAATGGAAATAGGTGTAAATATGGACAGATGGCATGGGTGTAGCAAGATGTTAACAGCTGGTGAATCCTGGTGATGGGAGTACATGTTTTGTTGTTTTTTCAACACTAGCGTGGGTTTGGAAACTTTCAAAGTAAAAAAGTAAAATAAAATATATATATATATTTCTGAGACAGGCTGGAGTACAATGGTGTGGTCGTGGCTCTCTGCAACCTCCACCTCCCAGGTCCAGGTGATTCTCCCACCTCAGCCTCCCGAGTAGCTGGAACTACAGGTGTGTGCCACCACATCCAGCTAATTTTTGTATTTTTAGTAGAGATGGGATTTCACCATGTCAGCCAGGGAGGTCTCAAACTCCTCACCTCATGATCCTCCTGCCTCGGCCTCCCAAAGTGCTGGGATTACAGGTGTGAGCCACCATACTCAGCCAATAATTATTTTTAAAAGCAGTTACAGTCATAAGGACACTGTAAAACATCTATGTGAATCTCAATATAAAAACCAAAGACTGACTTTCCTTCTAACCTGCCACATCATAAAGTTGTCCAAATGGCCCTCTCAATGCCTACCATATGAAGAAACCAAGAGAGTGACATCTGAATGGCACAGACTTCCAGAGAACACTCAGCCAAGGCATAAGAGCAAGGTTTGTTTCCATGAGCCAGCACCCAGGGGTAAACCCTTGTAATCCAGGGTTTTAGGAATCTGCTGACAGGTAAGATGTTTTAAATGTTTTTATGCAAATACAACTGAGATCCCATTGGTATTCCACAGCCTTGAACATCCATAGTAATTAACACAAATGTTCTCCTACCCTCCCAGCCTCACCCCAATTTATTCACAGACTGGAATAGATAATCTGGATTGCAAACTGTATTCTAATATGATCTGACGTCATTCATGCAACAGTTGGCTGGGGCCAGAGTTCTAGGTGCTCTGACCTACATTGGGAAATCTCATTCTGACTGCATTACAGTATAGCATGCCACTTCAATTTCTACTGGACTGTGAGAGCAGAAACCACTGTGATACACACATCATTTGATGGGTCTGAAAAAAGTGACACAATTTCCCATCAACAGAGCATCCTTGAGTCTATTCTCTACACAGCGCCTCTCTTTAAATAGTTTCAAATTCAGAAACAAAAGAGAGAGTCACAAGTAATCGCCATGGTCCCGGGGCAGAGGGAGGAAGAGGGATACGGGAGGAGAGGGGCACCTATTTTATGTAAATGTGGTTGTGTACAAAACAAGTTCTAGACTTATTTCATATGTTGCCAACCCACTAAGTTAAACATTCTCAAACCATTAAGATTCATCTCTCTGATTGACCACAGCTCTCATTTTTCAAGAATGTGGTACATAGTGCTCTTATTTAAAAAATATTTAGGGGAGAGAGTTCTAGGCTGATTATCAGATATTTCTAATCTCCATAATTCCATAAACGATTATAATTTGCACACTCCACTATTTTCATTCCACCTCACTGTAGTCTTCCAGCTGCTATTCAAAAGTGATTATAAATAATGGGGCTATAAAAGCCATTCAGTAATTAGGACACTCACTGGCCATATGCCAATCTTGACAATGGAAGGTGATTTATGTAAGACAACCCTATCACATCTGCCATCCTGGTTTCCCCTCTGACAGGCTCACTGGTCACGTATTAACATTGCCCTTAATGATCATTTTTTTCTTGACTAAAGAGCAAACGGGCAACCCAAAGTTCTACAGCTTTTTTTTTAAACTATGTTTATAAGGGAAAACACATACACACACACACACACACACATACACACACACACACATTAAGCCATTTATTTTCTGTCTTGTCATTTAACATATCCAGAGAAAGGAGAGAAGGCATAGAATGAAGTAAACTGGATCAGGTAAAAATCCTGGCACTTGCCATCAAATAGGAAAGACCTCAATGAATTCCAAGTACAAAAACAAAAAACTTCAGACCCAGCCGACCAAATCTTATCCCCTCAGCACAAAGGCTTCAATATACACAAGGTTAAGCCCATTGCAGGCTTTGCCTAGTGTTTCTCAAAAGGAGTGCCACTGCCATCTTGGGCAGGACAATTCTTTGTCACTGTGAATTTGTTCCATGAAACTCTGGACATTCAGCCTCCCTGTTCTTGGCAGCTCCAAACTAAATGCATGGTGTATTCCCTAGTTACTGTGACAAACCTAGTGTGACAGTCCCACCCAGGGGTTGGGTAAACATATAGAAATTGGGAACAGTTATACTTAAGTGCCCCTTTACACATATGTGGAATCTTCTTTCTTATTTTTCTTTTAGAGCAAAGAGCATATTAGAAAAAAAAATATTGCAAGCTGGGCATGGTGGCTCCTGCCTGTAATCTCAGCACTTCGGGAGGCCAAGGCAGACAGATCACTTGACCCCAGGAGTTCAAGACCAGCCTTGGCAACATGGCACAACCCTGTCTCTAAAAAAAATGTAAAAAATTAGCCAGGTATGGTGGTGCATGCCTGTAGTCCCAGCTACTTGGGAGGCTGAGTTGGGAGAATCACCTGGGCCTGGGAAATCAAGGCTGCAGTGAGACATGATGGCATCACTGCATTTCAGCCTAGGTGACATTGAGACCCTGTCTCCAAAAAAAGAAAGAAAGAAAGAAAGAAAGAAAGAAAGAAAGAAAGAAAGAAAGAAAGAAAGAAAGAAAATTGCAAAAGGGCTTATATTGGTGATGATTCCAAATTGTTGAGATTTGATATGCACATGCATATATTTCCATACATTTCTTCTAGCACAGGGCTGTTGTGCGAAAGGCAGCACGGTTTAGGGCTGGGAACACAGGTACGAAAGGCTTTCTCTGAAAACTGTATCTAAAAGACACTGCTCCATCAGTGTCTGTTCTATTGCTCTGGTTTATTGCATTCATAGCAGTTATGATTCTTTGAAATTCTTATTTATATATTTATCTTGTTTATTGTCTGTCATCCCCACCCCCCAAACCATGAGAGTTTCCTATGAAGACTGAGATCCTCTTAGCCTAGAATAGAGTCTCTTGGACTACAGGAGGAGCTGGCATAGACTATGTGACTGAACAAGTGAGTGAATAAAGGATGATACTGCTAATTAAAATGACACAGGCAGTGGCTAAAGCAGAACTAGGCAGACCTAAGTTCCCATCCTGACTTTGCCATCTGCTGCCTCTGTGTGTTCTTGGGCAACTTACTTAATCACTCTGGGTCTCCATTTCCTCATCAGAAAAATGGGGATAAGAATAGCATCTACCTGACAGGGCTGTCATGAGGACTAAATGAGAATATACAACGTAATGCTCACTAATGTGAGCTACCCTTTCCTTCATCATCTGACTTGAAAGTGACATGATTCAAATATACCTTTCATGAAATTCTATTCTCCAAGAAGGTAACAGAAAAGAATTTTTTTTAAGATTCATGATTATGACAATGTACAAAACAAATGAGTTAAACAAGCCAGCCTTTCCATATCTCCAGACTGCAAACTAATTAAAACTGGTGTGTTATCACCAGATTGCTTTCACACGCCCGCTTCTGTTTGTACTACACTGTATGGCCGAAGGTGTGCAAGCAGAGACAGAATTTCCTTCCTTCCTCCCACCTCAGGCCTCAAGTAGCTGGGACTACAGGAGTGCGCCACCATGCTCTCCTGATTTTTTTTTTTTTTTTTTTTTTTTTTTTTTCAGACAGAGTCTCGCTCTTTCACCCAGGCTGGAGTGCAGTGGTGCGATCTCAGCTCACTGCAACCTCCTCCCAGGTTCAAGTGATTCTCCTGCCTCAACCACCCAAGTAGCTGGGACTACAGGCATGTGCCACTGCACCCAGCTAACTTTTATATTTTTAGTAGAGACGGGGTTTCACCATGTTGGCCAGGCTGGTCTTGAACTCCTGACATGAGGTGATCCGCCCACCTCAGCCTCCCAAAGTGCTGGGATTACAAGCGTGAGCCACCAGGCGTGGCCGTGGCTTATTTTTTTGACTTTTAGTAGAGACAAGGTTGTGCTATGTTGCCCAGGCTGGTCTCAAAATCCTGAGCTCAAGCGATTCTCCCGCCTTGGCCTCCCCAAGTGCTGGGTTTACAGGCATGAGCCACTGCATGCTGCCCATTATTTTCATTTGCATTGCCCTGATGACTGACAATGTTAGTCTTGTCAAGTACTAACAGAAGTGTCTTTTCATTTGTTAAGTTTCTATTCAAATTGTTCATCAGTGTATATTGGTTGTCTTCTTAATGTTGACTTGTAAAGGCCCCTTATATATCCCTCATATCAGTCCCTTGCAGAAAAACATTTTTCAAGTATTCTCTCCCAGTCTGTGGTTACCAATTCATTTTCTTAATGATGCCTTTTGATGAGTGGAAATGTTCTATGTTGAAATGAAGTCTAATTTATCAATTTTTATGGTTATTTTTTCTCTATTATTAATTTACTACAGATGAGTCAGAAAACAAAATAACGAAATAGAAGAACTCTGGGCAAGGAGTCAGGGGGCCTGGATTTGAGACTTAAATCTGCACAGGTATTTGAGTTTCGGGAAGTCATCTGGGAGGGTTGATTTTATGTGTTAACTTGACTGGGCCACAGCATGTCCACGTATCTGGTCAAACAGAATTCTGGGTGTTTCTGTGATGGGGTTTTGAGATAAGGTTAACATTTGTATCAACGGACTGAGTAAGCCAGATTGCCCTCCTTAGTGTGGGTGGGCCCCATCCAATCAGTTGAAGGACTGAATAGAACAAAATTACTGTCCTTCCTCCAAATAAAAGAATTACTTTCCAGCCAGGTGCGGTGGCTCAGGCCTGTAATCCCAGCACTTTGGGAGGCCGAGGTGGGCAGATCACCTGAGGTCTGGAGTTCAAGACCAGCCTGACCAACATGGAAAAACCCCGTCTCTACTAAAAATACAAAATTAGCCAGGCGTGGTGGTGCATGCCTGTAATCCCAGCTACTCAGGAGGCTGAGGCAGGAGAATCGCTTGAACCCAGGAAGCAGAGGTTGCAGTGAGCCAAGATCGTAGCCTGGGCAACAAGCGCAAAACTCCGTCTCAAAAAAAAAAAAAAAATTACTTCCGTCTGACTGCTTTGAGCTGGGAATCAGTTTTTCCTGTGTTCAGACTAGAACTGAAACATGGGCTCTTCTTGGGTTCAGGTCCACCAGCCTTCAAACTGGGAGTACCATCAGCTCCTCTGGGTCTTCAGCTTGTCATGTGCAGGTCTTGGGATGTGCCAGTCTCTATAACTGTGTGAGCCAATTCCTTAAATGAAATCTCCTTCTCTCTATATATACATCCTACTGGTTCTGTTTCTCTAGGGAACACTGACTAATACATCATCTGCCTCCTTTAGCTCCAACATAGCATGAAGCATTCTACTCAATTCTTAATGAATATTGCTGGAATGTCTAATACATCGGCTCTAATTCACATATGTATAAATGAATAAGTTGGATTCGACAACCCCAGAGGCCTCTCCTGTTCTAAGAGCCTCTGATACTTATCTTGCTCTCACCTTTCCATTCCAATGACTCCTTTTCCCTCAGGTGTCCTCCACCAAAATTAATTCGGCTGTGCTTCTCAGAAAAAGCGACAAAGCTCCCTCCCAGCTAATCAGCTTAGAAGTAATTCTAACAGGCTCCAGCTACATAGAAACCTGTTCTGGTTTGATTGTCCTCACCTTTTTGGAAGGAAGCTGAAGAGTTCACAAAAATTCAACATTGTTGTATGTTTATTCACAACAAGGGTTGCAGCAGTTGAATTCTCTTAACTTCCTCTCCGAATATATTGCTTATATACTGACGTATTTACCCGAATCCTAAAATAACATTTTAAAACTGCAAGGAAGATACCAAATGCACCAATAAATCCAACTAACGAGTGTTCCTATTAGGGAAGAAAGTCCCTGACACATTATAGTTCCCAAAACACAGAAGGAGATCAAACGTTTGTCACTGAAACAAACTGAAATAGGTCCACACTTCAGCCTTTGGGAACTGTGACACCCTCTTTTTTGTTGCTTGATTCCAAACCAGTCCTTATGAGAAAGAAAATTATCTTTACCCATTCATGTGACTTTAAATAAATTTTGCAATGCCCTTTGAGACCAAACCACACCCTTGGAGATACCAAACCACAATTGAGAATTTTTGCTTTCTAATAAGCCTATATTAAAAAAAAAAAAGTAGGTGATGGTGACTGAGAGCTATAGTAAGAACCTGAAGGGATTCAGTTCACTAAGCTTCCCCACATGGCTCTAACAGCAAAAGCACAGAGCTGCTCTCTCTTGGGGTCCTGGAATGTTCTAACGACAAGGCATCAGCCAGGCTTACTCAGAGTGGAAGTGGCAACCGAATGTTGTTACCTCTAAGACAGGGAAGTAAACTTCAATGAACACTGAAATCACCTGGGGCATGTCTATAATAGCACCAGCGCCTAGGCCCCCACTTCAGACCAATTCAGAATCTATAGGGAAGGACTAGGCATCGGTATTTTTTTTCTAATCTCCACTAGTAATTCCAAAGTGTAGCCAGGGTTCTAAGCCTAGCCTACTTCTCAGACTGTGAATTCACGGTAGATTCACTAATTGTCAAAATATACACACAGAATCTTCTGTTGATAGAGCATCCTGTATAATCTCCTAAGATGAAGTGCCCTTAGCTTCAAAGAAGAAATATAAGACTCTGAACCAGGTGCAGAGAGTGGTACGGGAGTGAAGAACATCAATGAGATAAGGAAGTGGAAAAATTCTAACACCCTCTTAGAGTCACAGCCCTGGGAATTTAAATCGTGTTTCTGCCTGCCCTGACTAAGGAAGAAAACTGAAATTAGCTGGGTAGAAATTTCATCTAAAAGAATCAGGAGACTCCAAGTGACCTGTACTTTGATGTCTCTCACTGTGGCTCAGCCACGCTTTTCTCTTTCACACCAATTCCTGAGAAAAGTCATCAGTAACTGATATGTAGTTTGAAGAACAGACATCAAATACAAAGGATGGGTTAGGGGCCCAAGGTTTCTGCCAGGCTGTGATCGATGACAAGGAACAAGGTGAGAAAGGGCCTGCTGGGATCACAAATGCAGGGCTTTCCCACACTGAAATCATAATAATGATGTCTTAAAAGTTGCACAGGCTGACTTCTGAAGGTGCACAAAGCACCAACACATTTAGAAAGCACTGGAAAAGATGAAAGAACAAATAGAAGGCTCCCCAAAATTAAACACAACTCAACATGACTGCTGTGAGCTGGGTAATTATCTCGTTGATGGATTCTACACTCCAGCTAACACTGAACCATGTGCTACCTCAAAAGGTTTCTTCAAGCACCAGCACCAATGAATGCTTGCAGCCACTCCCATATCTTGATCAAGCCCTTCAGTGCTCACAAGAACAATCAATTTTCTTTAATGAGACATTATTCTGCCACTGGTCAAACATGCTATGACCATCAAACCTTCTATCCGGAAGACTCGAAGGGAATGAAAAGCCTTTGAGAATTTTACATCAGCAAACCAAAAATACTTAAGGCTAGCAGAAAACCATCTTCTTCAACCAGATACCAAAATTTTGAATAAAGTGTTTTTATAATGACTTAGCTAGACAGTCCGCCCTATCTATAACCTTGATATGTAAGCTCTGTTTATACATACTGAAGTCATACTGGCATCTCAAAAGTTCAAGCAAAATCAAATCATGAAAGTAAATCGGTTACATTTTCTATCCTTTTTCTTGATAAAAAGAAGGCTAGCTTAACATTTGCTTTTCTCCCCATAATTAGAAAGATTCTGGAAAGAGAAAATGTAGTCAAACAGGCTTGAGCAGAAAATAGCTTTTTTAAAAAGTGCCTTATATAAAAGAATAACAATTAAGGAATAAAGCTCCATCTCTCATTTGATAGGTATTACCTGCCTGGAAATTAAATCATACTTAGTGCTTTCTCTAGAGAAGACTTCTGTTCCAAAATGAGGGTCTAATGTTTTGAGTGGTGCAAGCCAAATCAGCTTGAAGAAACAGAAGGCTCTGCTAAGCTTTAGCAGAACAAGCCCTAACATAATATGCCAGAGAACACGTTTGACAAAACAGAAGTAGAAAAATATTTTCAAAATCAGTTCTTGGCTTAAATATAGCATTTGGCACCTCCAGTAAACACAGAGGAGAAGATCTAACTTGGTAGCACCATGTGACTTTCTGAACTGCAGCAGACCAGATGGTGGGGTGAGTTATTCATTTCTCAGCTCCTCACCCACTTTTCCCTTCCATTAGTGACTTCTCAGTTCAGGGTCCCTTAGAAGAGCTGGAAATAAAAGAACTGGATAAATACATAGAACTAGTTTTCTTAGTACTTATTATTCTACTTTAAAACCATGTTACTAGCAAACACCTCATGCCAACTCAACAGCTCTTGTTAGTAAGTGTTCTGGATTATATAGTCAAGTCAATGTCTCATTTGCTATCTACGAAAAATAAAGAGGGTGACACTTCCCCTTCTGTAAAGATAGGGCAGACATACCTTTCCCTATTCCTCCCACTAAGTACAACTATAGGCCTTGGATCTAGGAAATTAAGAAGATGTCTGAAATGTAAAGAGAAAAAGGCAGACCAACTAGGAACCTTGGGACAAACCTCAACATGGTGATGAGTTTCATGGGTTTTCTTTATGTCTCATATATCCCAGAATCAGAGCTGAAGAACCCAGGAATGGGTAAAAACCAAGTGGGATGAAGGAAAACAACAACAACAACAACAACAAAGCCTGTTCTCTCTAGCTAAAGAATTAGGGAAGAAGGAGGGAAACTGGCAATAAGGAAAACTGTTACACAATAACGGCTCTACTTCAGCCAAATACCACAGGAAAAGACTATACTTCCACCACCACCCACGCCAGCAATGATTGAATGGGGAGCTTAGAATTCCGCCCTTTTCAGACTGTATTGGGGTCACCTAATCTCTGCTCCTCATTCTGGGGTACTGTCAAAGAAGACTGAGTAAAGACAGAATCTTCGACCCCATGGGTGGAATCTCTTCTTCTCCCCACATCCCCTCTTCCTTATCCGCTCTTCATCATCTTTGGAGACCCCAGAGGAATTCAGCACTTCTGCCCCACATAGCAGTAATATGAAGTCATTCCTCCCACTGAATGTCAAAGGAAGAAGAGGAGTGGGAAACCTAGACTTCTACCCCCACTGGACTGTAACAAGGTCTCATATCTCCTTCCCCTAACAAAGTGGTGTCAGATAAAACCATCTAAAACAGAAGGTTTAAGTAAGTTTCAGTCTCATAACATAATATGCAAAATGTCCAGATTTTAATTGAAAATCACTCATCATATGAAGAATAAAAAAAACTCAACCTGAATGAAAAAGGCAAGATGACAAAAATGTTACAATTATCTGACAAGGATTTTCAAACAGTCATCCTAAAAATGATTCAAGGAACAATTATGAACACACTTGAAACAAACAAAGAAGTATAAAACCTCAGCCCAAAAAAAAAAAAAAAAACCCAGAAGACATAGCAGGGCAGGAAGCTAAGACGAGCAGATTTCTTGAGCTCAGGAGGTTGAGGCTACAGTAAGCAGTGATCGTACCACTGCACTCAGCCTGAGTGACAGAGTAAGCCCTGTTTCAAAGAAAAGAAGAGGAAGAAATAAAGATAAATAGAAATTTTAGAACTATAAATTATAACCAATGAAATAAAAAGCTCAGTTGATAGGCTCGACAAGAAAATGGAGGAGACAGTAGAAAAACATTAGTCAATTTGAAGGTAGGATATTAAAAATTAAAGGCCACGCACAGTGGCTCACGCCTGTAATCCCAGCACTTTGGGAGGCTGAGGCAGATGGATCACTGAGGTCAGGAGTTCAAGACCAGCCTGGCCAACTTGGCAAAACTCTATCTCTACCATAAATACAAAAATTAGGCTGGCATGGTGACGCACACCTATAATCCCAGTTATTTGGGAGGCTGAGGTAGGAGAATCACTTGAACCTGGGAAGCGGAGGTTGCAGTGAGCCGAGATTACACCAGTACACTCCAGCCTGGGTGACAAAGTAAGACTCCATCTCAAAAAAAAAAATAAAAAGAAAGAAAAAAAAAACAGTGAAAATGAATGGAAAAAAGAAACAGAGCCTCAGGGATCTTTGGGACTCTAACAACAGACCTAAAATTTATGTCACTGGAGGCCCAAAAGAAAGAAAGAGTTAAACATTTACTTAAAGAAATAATGACAAAACATTTCTTAAAGTTAGCAAAATATATAAAAATAGAGGTTCAAGAAGGTCAGCAAACCCAAAATAGAATGTTTTAAAAATCCACACCAAAATATACTCAAATTTTTGAGAACTGAAAGAAAAAAAATATTGAAAGCAGTGAGAGAAATACTACCTTACATAGAAAAAATAGAGTGACAGTAAATTTTTCATCAGAAACCATGGAAACCTAATAGAAAAGGGTACAACATTTTTCAAGTCCTAGAAGAAACGAACTGTCAGCCCAGAATTCTACATCCAGTAAAAATATTCTTCAGGAATGTAGGTGAAATCAAGAGATTCTCAGGTAACAAAAAATTAATAGACTTCATTGACAGTAAACCTATCCTAAAAAGATGACTAGAGAAGTTCTCTGAAATGTGGTTATAAAAGTAAGAATTTTAGGACAAAAAGAGGGAAGAAAAACAATGAAAAGAGTAAAAGTACAAGCAAATACATTTCTCTTCTCCTACTGAGTTTTCTAAATTAGGTTTGAAGCTCAACTATCTCATGTGGCTCTAAGAGTACATGGAGGAAATATTTCAGACAATGATATTATAAACCAGGATGTAAAGAGACGTAAGGTTTCAGCAATTCAGCCAAACTGGTAAAATGACCATTCTACATATAGTTATTTTATATACTTTTGAGTATATCTATTTTTACAGCCCTTTTAGTATTATATATAATGTAACACATAAAGCAATACTAAAAAGGCTAAAAAGAGATATGCTCAAAAACATTATAGATAAATCAAAATAGAATGCTAATAAATGCTCAACCCACAGGAAGAATAAAAAAGAAAATAAAAGAATAAGACAGAATAAATGAAAAATAAAAAATAAAAAGACATAATTTTTAAGGCTTAACATGTCCATAATTACATGAAGTGTAAATCACCTAAACACACCAATTAAAAGACAGAGGTTAGCAGAATAAATTTAAAAACATAACCCAACTATATTATGTTAACAAGAAACTTGCTTCAAATATAACACTATAGGCATGGTGAAAGTGAAAGGATAGAAAAAAATATGCAAACATTAATGAAAATAAAATAGAAATGCTATGTTAATATCAGACAATGTGGGCTTTACAGCAAAGAAACTTAACATAGACAGGAAGAGACATTATGTAATGATAAAGGGGTCAACCCACCAAGAAAACATAGCAATCCTAAATGTGTGTGCACTAAACAAGAGAGCTGCAAAATACATAATGCAATAACTGATAGAACAGAAAAGAGAAAGGAACAAATCAACAATCGTTGTTAGAGACTTTAACATCTCTCTCTCTTTCTCTCTCTCAATAATTGGTAGAATTAGAAAATTTCCAAGATGTAGAAAAACTCAACACCTTCAAACAACAGGATCCAAAAGACATTTACAGAACAATTGACCAAGCAACAGCAAAATGCACATTTTTTTCAAGTGCCCACAGAACATATACCAAGATTGACCGTGTTGTGTATGATAAAACAAATCTCAACAAATGTTAAGCGTCGAAAGTATACAGAATGTGTTCTCTAAATAGAAGAGAACCAAACTAGAAATAAATAAAAGAAAAATAGGAGTAAACCTCTAAATGCTTAGAAATCACACTTGTTAAAACAAAACTCATGGATCAAAGGGAAAATCTCAAGAGAAATTTTAAATACACATCGACATAAATAAAAAAACAACGTGTCAAAATTGTACAATTACACGTAAAGCAGTGCTAAAGGGAAAATTTACAGGGATCACATTAGAAAAGAAGATTCAAATCAATAAACTCTCTTATCACCTCAAGAACCCACAAAAACAAGAACAAAATAAACCCAAACAAGGAGAAAAGGGGAAATAATAAGGAAAAGAGAACAAATCAATGAAAGTAAAAACAGAAAACAATAAAACAAAGAGATGATTCTTTGAAAAGACCAAACAATTGATAAACTTCTAGCAAGACTGACAACAGGGAAAAACCAACTTAAGACACAAACTGCCAACAATATGAAGCAAACAAAGGATATCACTAAAGACCTTGCATACATCAAAGGATAAAGGAATATTATGAACAAATCTACAAACATACATTTGACAACTGAGATGAAATGGAGTTTGAAAAACACAAACTACCACTACTCATCCCATATAAAATATATAATTTGGACAGTCTGAAAGCTGTTAGGCAAATTGAAGAGAAAACAAGATTTCCCAATTTATTTTATGAACCTAGTATTACTCTGATACCAAAACCAAAGACAGTACCAACAACAACAACAAACAGTGGACCAGTATCTCCCACAAACCTACATGTAAGCATTCTAAAAAACAAACAAACAAACAAAAAACATCTCACAAACTGAATCCAGCAATATATGAAAACAATATACACTATGACCAAGTGGGGTGATTATTCCAGGGATGCAAGGTTGGTTCAATACCTGAAAATCAATTATTATAATCTACAATATTAATATGTTAACGAAGAGAAACCACATGATCATATCAACTGATTTAAAAGTATTTGATAAGATTCAACATTCTTTTATGACAAAAACTTTAAGAAAACTACAAATATGCAAGTTCCATTCTTTATGTGAAATTAAAAAAGAAAAGAAAGAAAACTACAAATAGAGGTATCTTGCTGGTAAAGAATACCCAAAACCCTACATCTGACGTAATAATTCATGGTGAAAAATGGAATACTTTTCCCCCTCAGATTGGGACAGCACAAGGCTCTCACCACTGTTGTTCAACAAGGAGCTAGAAGTTCTGGCCAAAGTGTTGGCAAAAAAGAGCCAGAAAAGTAAATAAAAGGCATATAAATCAGAAAGGAGGAAATTAAACTGTCTTGTTATTCCTCAAATATCATGATTATCTACATAGAAAATCCCAAGGAATCTGTTTTAAAAACAAAAAGCCTCCTAGTACTAATAAGTGAATGCAGAAAAGTCACAAGATACCAGATATACATCTGAAAATGAATGTATTTCTTTTTTTTTTTTCTTTTTTGAAACACTGTCACCTAGGCTGAAGTGCAGTGGCACTATCACAGCTCACTGAAGCCTCAACCTTTTGAGCTCAAGCAATCCTCCCACCTCAGCTTCCAGAGAAGCTAGTACTACAGGCCGTGTGTGTGTGTGTGTGTGTGTGTGTGCGCGTGCGCGTGCACACAGACAGGGTCTCATTATGTTGCCCAAGCTGTTCACTAACTCCTGGACTCAAGGGATCTTCCTGCCTCAGCCTCCCAAAGTGGTGTGAGCCACTGCACCTGGCCTTAATGAATGTATGCCTATATATTAGCAATGAACACAATGAAATCAAAATAAAAAGAACATTTAGGTATAAATCTAACAAATTCAGTACTTGTTTACTGAAAACTAGAAAACAGTGATGAAATTAAGATCCCCTAAATAAATAGTGATGATACACCACAATCAAGAATTCAAAGAGTCGACACAGTAAATATAGTATAATTCTCTTCAAACTGCTAGGTTTAACGTAATTCCTATCAAAATCCCATGAATGTTTTTTGTAGATATAGACAAAATTATTCTAAAATTCATATGAAAGGCAAACAAACTGGAATAGTAAAAAATTTTGAAACTGAAGAATAAAGATCAGCTTACTTGATTTTACAACTTAATATATAGCTACAATATTTAAGACTACGTGGTATTGATGGGGATGCAGACACACAGATTAATGGGTCAGAATCCAGAACTCAGAAACAGATTCATTCAAATATGCCCAACTGATTTTTCATGAAGATACAAAAGCAATTCAGTGGAGAAAGGACACCCTTTTCAACAAATGATACTGAAACAATTGGACATTCACAGCCAAAAGAGGACAAATGTTAACTTAAACCTCATATCTTACACAAAAATTAACCCAAAATGCATGGTAGACTTAAATATAAAACTATAAAGTGTGTGAAAAATGAAGTACACCTGTAATCCCAGCAACTTGGGATGCTGAGGCAGAAGGATCACTTCAGGCTAGGAGTACAAGACCAGCCTGGGCAACACAGTGAGACACCCCACCCCAATCTCTAAAAAAATACAAAAAATTAGCCAGGTGGAGTGGTGTGCACCTGTAGTTCCTGCTTCTTGGGAGGCTGAGGCAGGAGGGTTGCCTGAGCCCGGGATTACAAGGTTACAGTGAGCTGACTGCATCACTGCACTCCAGCCTGGGTGACAGAGACCCTATCTCTAAAAATTAAGCAAATAAAATAAAGTAAAATGTGTGAAGTCTTTGGTATCTGGATCTAGGCAAAGTTTTCTCACACCATGACAACAAAACCATAATCCATAAACGGAAAAAATAATGAACTGGGCATTATGAAAATTAACAACTTTTTTTCCTGCAATAGGCTCTGTTAAGAGGATGAAAAGACTGGGAGAAAATATTTGCAAACTATATATCTAACAAAGGATTAGTGTCTATCTGGAACATATAAATAACTCTGAATATTCAATAGTAAAACAACAATAACAAATAACCCAAGAAGAAAATAGATAAAAGATATGAACAGACTCCAAATATGAACTTTTCACTAAAGAAGATAGTGATGGCAAATAAGCATATGAAAAGATGTCTAACATCATTAGTGATTAGAGAAATGCAAATTAAAACCACAATTAGCTATTACTACACACCTATCAGAATGGCAAAAATATTGACAACGCCTAATGCTGGCTAGGATACAGAAAGCTGGATCACTCATACGCTGCCTGTGGGGATGTTAAAATGATATAGGCACTCTGGAAAATAGATTGGTAGTTTCTTAAATACCTAAACACAACTACCATTTGACCCAGTGCTATAGTTTAAGTGTATCTTGCCAAAAATCATGTTTTGGAAACTTAATCCCCAATGCAACAATGTTGAGAGGTGTGACCTTTAAGAGGTGATCATGACTGGATTACTGCTATTATTTCAAGAACAGGCTGGTTCCTCATAAAAGGATGAGTCTGCATTGCACCTCATGCTCTTGCATAAATGCTCTGGTGCTCTTCCACCCTGTGCCAGATGAAGGCCTCTTGACCCTGGACTTCTCAGCCTCTGGAACTATGATAAATAAAATTCTTGTCTTTATAAATTGCCTAGTCTGTGACATTCTGTTATATCAATGCAAAATGGACCAAGACACCCAGCAACAGTACTCCTTGACATTAATTCCACAACAATGAAAAATCATGCCCACACAAAAACCTGTGCACACGTGTTTTTAGGATAGATGGTTAAACAAACTGTGGCACATCCATATCATGGAATACTACTCAGCAATAAAAAGGAAGGAACTATTGATACATGCAACAGCCTAGAGGAATCTCCAGGGAATTATACTGAATGAGAAATGCCAAATGGGGGCCTTCTGTGTAGGCAAGGGACAGAGTCTCCTGTGGAGGGAGCACATCCCTGTGTTAACACCTTGATTTCCAACGTCTGGCCTCCAGAACTGTGAGAGAATAAATATCTGTGTTTTTAAGCCAACAAGTTTGTGGTAATTTCTTACAGCAACCACAGGAAATGAGTATACCAGCCACATCAGTGACCTGGGAACCTATTAGGAGTCCAGATTTTCAGGTCCTGATCCAGACTTTGTGAATCAGAATTTGGATTTAAGCAGTGCTCCCAGGTGATAAGAATGCAATTAAAGTATGAGAGGCATTGACATAAACTACTATACGATTCTTACAATTTACAGCAATGACTTTTGTACCAATGTAGAAAGTATTTAGTTATCAACGTGTAAAATAAGTAAGGTGCATATCTGAAAAATGCATATTTTTAGTTTTTCTTGGTGTGTATATAGTCAAAGTCTGAATGAAAATAAGCAAGACCAAAAAAATTGTTTCTTTAAGGTGAAGGGATTGTAACTCCCCCAACCCCACCTAGTCCTCATTTTATTCTCTATAATTCTGCTAATTTATTTTATGATAACTTTTTTAAGGCCAGCAGACTTACATGAAGATCGGCATTTGCCTTTTTTGCCCACTGCTCTTCTAGGATCACGCGTCACACAGTAGAATGAAATCCCACATTATGGACTTATCCAGGCTCATTAACAACCAGGTGTACAAGGAACCTGCCTGGTTTTAGCCAATTCAACCTCATATAAGAAGAACAAAACAAAACATTGCTCCAGATAATTATCTTTTGAAGAAACACCCAAAGCAGTTCAAACACACCCTGGAGCTAAGGCAAAGTAGCCAGTAGAGCCATACTCCATGCAAGTCCAAATCTTTGGGTCTACATTTATTCCAGGATGCAGATCTGGCAGCTAGAACCCCAGGAAACACTCAGTGCCTTGATGGTCATGGTGGTTAGCTGTGCACATGGAGACCTTTCCCTGTATATTGCGGCATGTGGACCTGCACATTAAGCCCACTTTGCCAGTCATGTGGAATCAGCATCCACCAGACAATGAAGTCAATTAACTGTTCATCAGTGAGTCAATTGTCAAATTATTTGTCTCCTTCTTTTTCTCACTGCAGACAGACATCCCAGGCATGCCATCCTTGCATATGACACCAAGAAAAC
Source organism: Homo sapiens (assembly GCF_000001405.40). Taxonomy (NCBI): domain Eukaryota; kingdom Metazoa; phylum Chordata; class Mammalia; order Primates; family Hominidae; genus Homo; species Homo sapiens. The sequence continues at coordinate 65,651,710 of NC_000003.12, forward strand.
ACCACCAGATATCCAGAGGATCCAAGAGAGAATCCTTTTTTGCATATTTGAAAGCAACAATGTGCCCCATTCACCTCCAAAGTTAATTTTTCTAATGATTTGGCCTATAAGTCAACCTTCTCCCCACTCATCTCAAAGTGACTACATTTCAGACAAACTTTTCAGCTCATCTTTGGAGAATGTATCTCTCCAGTTCAAACATGCTCTAGGAATATTTATATGTAAACATCTAAAAACGTATCTTCTCTAGCTATTATGCTGAAGGGAAAAAACCCCACTCTAATTAAAGCACTAATGCTAAGTTGGATGAACAAAACAATATCTACTTCCAAACTTCAACAATTATTTATATACATGCAATCCAAAATGAAAACCAAATGAGAAATGGTTAAAATGAGTTTTATTATCGTGTCTAGACTAGTCACGCCTGTGCAGTGGAGCCATTATTTAAATATTTTTAAACTCTGATTATCAAAGGGGGTAGATAAATAATTCAACACTGTAAAAATTTTTGTTTTCACTTCTAGATATGTTGCCATTGCCATTATTTAAATGTTTCAAGAAGAAAATAGGATTCATAGTCATTCAAAGTGACTAACGGGGAGAGATAACCTACAAAAATAAATTATCACTTTAAATCAGGGCTCTCAATCTTAGTACTATTGACACGTGGGACCAGATAATTCTTTGTTGTTGGGAGAAGGGGGTCTTGCTCAGCATGTAGGATATGTTAGCGGCACCCCTGGTCTCTGTCCACAAGACACCACATGCCAGTACTTATTCCCTACCAGCTGGTGACAACCAAAACCATCTCCAGACATTGTCAAATGTCTCCTGGAAAATAAAATCACCCTCAGTTGAGAGCTACTGCTTTAACTTAGGGACTAGGGCAACCTAGTTGAATTCTCAAATGTAACTCAACTCTCCTTTAGCCCTCTAGGGATTTCGTGGTTTGCAAACCCAATAGAATGACTGTCACCATTTAGCTTCCTATGACCACATTTTAGGAATCACCTGAGTTTTAGTAGGTTTTCATGTAATGCAAGGCCATGGCGAGGCTTTACAGGGACTGAAATAATGGCAATATTAACTGGCCACTGGTTTTCAAGAGACTAAAGATGTAATTCGGAAGGCTGACACCAATGACCGGAATTATTATGGGGCATACCTGAGAAAGCCATGATGCCCAAAACTTCGGACAAGAAAGCTATAGTCCTGGCCTAAGTTACTATCAAAAATATGACCACCTATTAGCCTAAATTGCTGGAGTCCAGGACATGTGAGTCATCAGAAGTCTACCAGGAGAGCTTATCCAGCAAGAATCCGGGTCACTTGTAGTTTCAGAATAATCTCAATGAGATGAGAAAACTTGTATACTTTTTTTTCTTCCCCAGCGGAAATATGCATTAATATCACAACTTGAGTAGGAATAAAGAGCACCTTCTTGGACCACAAAGTCACCTTTGACTCCCTCCATCTTCCATATCTTTCACAACATATCAACTGCCCAGTTCTTCTAATTCCACCTCCTGTACAGCTCTTGAATGAGCCCACTCTTTTCCAACACACCTTTCACTACTAGACCATTACAGAAGCCTCCTAATCAGTCGCTTACCTTCCACTTTGGCCCCTTCCACCAGACATAAAGCAATCTTTCTAAAAGACGAATCTGATTGCCTTTCTCCAGTTTGCATTCTTTCATGGGCTTTCCGATGTGCTTAGAATAAATTACAGACACCTGCAAGCTTCCGTGTTATCAGGACCATGACTTAATATAAGGTGTCATGGATGTGGGGCACAGAACACAATGTCATGTGCAATGAAATCACACTTATGCAGGATTTTGTACTACAGGAGTTTATAAAACCCGAATCATTGATAGCACAAATTGCATTTAACAATTCCCTAAACTTCCAGAATCTGGACTTTTGGGAGCTCAAAAGCCAAGAATCAACCCCTCTAAGTTTCTCTTTGCATTTCTATTGTACCCTTCCTAAGGCAGTGAAAGGGAGTTAGGCCAAGGTTATTTTAAATCTAGCAGGGTTGTGAGTTGGGGAAGAAGAGGCATAATTAACAAAATTTCACTCTCTCTTTCTTTTTATAAAGAGTTTTTGTTACACTGGTGGAGTCTCACTGCACTTACCATGTGACTCCAGTATATAAAACACAACTCCAACTATGTTCAAAATATGCATACACATAGGCGTTATATTTCCATGGTGAGGAGGAGGGGATTGCTACACACAGTGAAATATGCAAGGCAAATGAACTAGAAAGAAATACAGCCATATGTGAACAGGAATATCTCTGGATGGTGAGATTAGAGATGATTAATTTGATTCTCAATACTTTCATGTATGTTCCACTATCAATAATGGAATTTTTTTAAACTCTAAATGGTTACTTTAAGTCTTTATATTAATATATGGACCTAGATATAGAATACATGGCAAAGGTAACATTAAATTGTTTTAGAATGAAAAGATTTATCACCTGCCCTGATTCTTCTCAGTTTGCAGATCTTTATGCCCAGATAACAGCCCCAGAATGGAAACTGTTGTCATTTGATGCTTTCACACGTCATCCCCAAAATCAATCATCTCTAAGGTTTTTAACGTACACACGGAGATATACAAAACTGAGGGCGTAAAAATGTCCAGTGAATCTGTTAAGTGTTGCAGTTGAATATTAGTGCCTGTGTGCCGTTTTGTGGAATGGTGACCTATCATGACTGTAAACAAAGAGAGAAAAACAGTTATGAAGTATGGCAGCCTTATAATAATCAGTGAAAAGCTTTCTCTGCCAGCACTTTCAAATAGAAGATTCCATGAATATTAAAAGCTTCAAATTCAAATCTCCATTCAACACACACCATTGAGTCTCTTTCTGTGTGCTAGTGACATATGAGTAATGACTTTTTTTTTTTACATTGAAGAATATCCTTTTCATTATGGGTATAACATGATGAGTGTGATTAGATACCCATGTGCTAAATGTTACATACTCTCTCCTCTACTCACCCAGAAGCTGCAGTATGGGTCTTGGTCAGGGCATGAAGTGAACATCTGTGTGGGGCCCACCAATTGCTCTGTCAACTGCCCACTGCATTTCTTTTTCTAAATTTCTGAGTGCTGGGCTCAAATGTAAGAATACAAGCTACATTGACTTTATTGCCCAGTTGTTATAAAAATGTAAAAGTTTAAGCATAGATTGCCTATGGAGCGATTATATGTGTTTTATAATTGTCAAATCATTTAAGTTCAAATGAAAATGCATCTTGCCATTACCCAATTTATTTTATATCAATTTCAAAAGGTGAATACTGGCTCCAGCCTTGGAATAGCAAGCCCAGTTGCAAACATTATAGGAGTCTTTATAAGCTCCCTTTATTACACACAGTGTGTCTTCCTACCAGTGTAAAGCAGGGTAGAGTGGAGCGGGGATGTCTCATTCAACTTCCCGGCCTTCTAGCATTATGACAATATGATGACTGTGAGGACAGACAGAGACGTAGAGCGGAGAAAAAACAGTGTCTCACCACCTGTAGTCCCAGATGGCATTGGAAGATACTTTACTGTAAACCCATAAAGGCTCAAAAAACACATAAAGCAATGCACTAATTAAAAGGAAAAAAATCTACATCCAACCATACATAGTTATGGTACAGATTATTACATACACAGTCAACTGTGACTTCTGAAATATAACTGAGTCAAACTCCAGCAAAACACAGATGACAAAATAAAGAGCTCTTCTGTTCCTCCTTCCACTGATGGTACAATGGAATGCATACAGATCTATTAATTCAAAGAGTTTTCCCATTTTCCTCAACTTGACATGCAGAGGAGAATTTTTGAGTTGTCATCATCCATCACCATGATAAGTACAATTTATTGCCGGACAGTGCTAAGTGCTCGCATACATTATTTAATTCAGTCCTCACCACTCTTTGATATGGGAACTATCATTACCTCAGTCAGACAGAATAGAAATGGAAGCACAGACGAGCTGAGAAAGTTGCCCAAGTTCACACAGCTTAGTAAGAGGTAGAAATTGGATTTGAACTTGAATGCAACTGAATTCCAGTTGAATTCCAATGTTGAATTCCAATGTCCAGTTGAATTCCAATTCCAATGCCCAGGTAAATTCCAACTCCAGTTCAGTTCCCAAGTCGAAGCTCTTCCACACTTTGTGTGAGAAGTCATGTTATTTAACAGAAATAATCTTTTCAGGTTTTATTTCTGTCTCTCTTCAAATCTTGGCTACATCTTGAATTCACTGATAACCCAGAAAGCTCTTGTGTCAGACATTAGTGCTGTCTATGTATGCATGAAGGTGTGGGCCTCCTCACTAACCATTCTGGATTTCAGTTTCCTAATAAAAATATAATCTCCTAATGTCATCAAGTCTGCAATGGGGACAGAAAAATTAAGTTTCAGAAGTGTTAAATTTGAAAAAAAAAAATTCCCTCGATATCACCAAGGAAATTCTGGACCATATATTGAGAAAATTTTGTTCTCCTTAGTCAGAAGTTAGAAAACTTGCATCCATCTCAAAGCCCCTTTGCCTCTGATGCAGTTTACTGTCTCTTAAGCTGCCTGTGACACTGAACTGGCAAGGGTCTGTTCCATTTGGCCTCCCGAAGGGCTTAATATTGGAAATGAGGTGAAGTCTGGTGTCCGTTTTCAAAGTGTCTCAGATTAAAAGAGAACCAAATTTTATATGCCAAACCATCATTAAACACAAAACAGTACACATGTTTTAGGTGCTTTTCAATTCTAAACATTATGCAAGTAAAATGTTATGGAATATAAGAGGTTAATGGAATAAGACAACATCAAAGGAAAAAGAACACTTGAAAATCTTTTAGAGCAAACTTCTTACTCCGAGTGGGGGTGGGAGGCGGATTTGAAGAAAGGCCACCTAACAAAGATGGGAATAAAGGATATTTATTGTACTCCACATCAAACATAGAATATATCAAGAGGTATCAAAAAAGAGACACAGGGCCAGACCTAGCGGCTCATGCCTGTAATCCCAGCACTTTGAGAGGCCAAGTGGGCAGATCATTTGAGGTCATGAGTTCGAGACCAGCTTGGCCAACATGGTGAAACCCCGTCTCTACCAAAAATACAAAAATCAGCCAGGCATGGTGGCATGCATCTGTAATCCCAGCTACTCGGGAGGCTGAGGCAGCAGAATTACTTGAACAGTGAGCCAAGATCACTCCACTGCACTCCAGCCTGGGTGACACAGGAGGACACCATCTCAAAAAAAAAAAAAAAAAAAAAAAGACACAATAGCAAAAAAGATGATAATGAAGATAAGGATAACAATATCATTGGCTAATATTTATGGAATGTCTACTACATGCCAAGTATTGGGCTAAAAACTTTACATACATCCCCTACCTGGAATCCACGCAACATCCCTAGGAAGTAGGTACTATTCTTATCCCCAACTTAAAGATAAGGAAATGGAGGTAAAGGCAGGCTAAGTAAGTGTCTTACCCAAGGAGATACAATAAGTGTGGCACTGGGATTCAAACTCAGAGCCAGTGGTAATACTGCCTCCCAGGTAAGCAAATAGAAAATTGCCTTTGAGGCCAGGGGTGGTGGCTCACACCTGTAGTCCAAGCACATTGGGAGGCTGAGGTGGGAGGATCACTTGAGCCCAGGAGTCCGAGACCAGCCTGGGCAAAACAGTGAGACCCCCATCTCTATCAAAAAAAAAAAAAAAACACATAAATTTGTCTTTGAATTAAGAGGAGTGGGGGAAGTGTCCTCTATTCTGTGCACACAACAGAGAGCAACATGGAAAGCTGTAGGAAGCTACTTATTTAGGGAGCCAGTTGTACTTATTGCCCAAATGAACACCACTCTCTGTTAAAGGAGTCAGTAAGTTGAATCCCTAGCAACTGGGGAATGACAACATCACGAAAGTTTAAAAGAAATTTTTTTTGTTTGTTTCCTTTAAAATCTTTACTTGGCTGCATTCTAAGCTGAGCTTTGTCTGGTAACAATGAAATTTGCTCCTAAGTTTGGAGCCAAGTCCAATAAAAATCAAACCACCTTGCATGATGACCCCCAGTGAAGTGATAGCATGAAAACTTTGGTTTAAATCTTGAGTCTGCTACTGAATAGCCAGATGATACTGGGAAGGTCACTTACATTATAGGACTGAAATTTTCTCATCTGTCAAACTAGCATAACAATACCTTCTTTAGAAGGTCACTGTTAATTGAAATAATGTGTGTGAAATGGTTTGCACAATGTCTGGTATAATTACCAATGAATCACTAAGTGTGCACACAGAAAATAATTTGAGGTTTAATGTTAATTTAATATGCTAGGACTTTAAAATGATGTGGAAGTCACACGAAGGAAAATCACGAACTTTATCATGTGTTCCCTGGGGGAATGAGCCTTAATGCTGAAAAGAACAATTTATATTGAGAAGGTAGAATGAGGTGATGATTATAATTAACTGATTTTGGCTCAAAATCACTTTAAAACCCTTCCTTTTGGGTTCTAGAGAATGTTACAGTTCTCTTTATAAATATCACTGTTGACTTTTAATAAGGACGCGATGGACCAAATAGCAATACATCAGTACAGGAACAAAACTTCCTGCATTTGCTATTCAGAGAAAACCAAATGATCTGGTAAAATGTTGCTATTTTAACAGTCCAGTTTGACTGTTTAAAATGTTTAGTTGCTCTGTTCTCCAACACAGTGTATAAGCACTGAGATTCCAGTTACTGGTAACCAAATTGTAACACTGACTGAACAACTGAATTCTTCAGACCAGTTCTTCTGAAATGTTAATACGCATCTCAATTATCTAGGGATTTGGTTAAAATGCTCATTCTGATTCAGTAGGACTGGGATGAGTCCTTACATTCTGCATGTCTAAAAAGCTCCCAGGTGATGCTAATGCTGTTGGTCCCTGGACCACAGCTGGGAGGAGCAAGGCTATGGAACACAAGTTCTCTCCCTCTCTCTCTCTTTTTAATCCAGCTTTGACTTGTTCATCCGTTCACAAGCCATCTTCTGCCCTCCCATCTCAGAGGAAGTTTCTGTCCAATGTCAAAACGAAGTGAAATAAGTGCAAAGCACAATATTGTGTCCAGTCTAAATCTGAGGGTTTTCTTGCCCTGTATTTTGACATATCCACATGAGCATGCAATAATGCACAATAAATACTAGAAATCAACTAGAACTTATATCCACACCTTCTTTACTTGTGGATTAATGACAGTTGCTTCCTTTTTATGCACTTCTTGCCGGCTCCTCTTGTACGATAAATGCCAACAACAGCCAGGTAAGTCCTATTTTTATTCCTATTTTATAGAAGAAAAGGGGAGATTCAGTCAGACTAAATAATTTCACCAAGGTCACCCAGATAGGAAGTACAGAGCCAGTCTGACTCTCAAGTCCATGTTCTTAACCACTGTGTTATGAAGTACAGTTACCCGAGAACTTCCAGTTCTGTTTCTGGAGGAAAAAAAAATGACATGAAAATGAGGCAGGAATAAAACAGGGTGATCACAGGAGAATGGAAAATTCCAGGGAGTAATTTCACATAACTAGCAAAAAAGAGACTACTGAAATAGCTACAAAAGCTATGAGTTGATAAGACCCTGAAAAACAGGCATGGACCAAGCTGGCTAATACCAACTGGACCCAACATGGTGCTGCATTTGACCTAGGTTTCACCTAGAACCTCATTATATGCTCATTAACATACTAAACCACACACTCACCAGTGCCAGGACGGTTCCAAAAACACTCATATTTGGTGTAAAACTGGAAGGCAACATAGTTCAGAGAAATCTCCACCTTTTTCCAGGAGTTTTCATGAATATCCCACCCCTTGGTTAAAGAAACCCATAAAGATGGAAACCGCAAACCCCACGGCATGACTTTCTCCTGAGTAAACCCGTACTCCCCTTTCTTAAGTATGTATTTTTCACTTTGCAATAAATCTTGCTACTTGAACTATTTTCTGCCTCATCCTTGAATTCCTTCTTGCAATGGGGCCAAGAGCCTGGATATCAGCTGGAACTGAAGTCCCACCGGCGTTTGGGGACCTCCTCCAAACCAAAACCACTCTCTGTGTCACAGTGATGTTGGCCTGGGTTCTACATTTCTCAACCCCCAATCTCCAAATGAGTGGATGGCAAAGGTTTCCAGAGTTTGGTTACAATCTCTCTGTGCTAAATCAAGATCATAGTTTATGACCCACCCAGAACCATACTGACAAGACACAAATTACAAGTTGGCCACATAGAAAGCACTCAACCATTTAATCTACCTGGTATTTACAAAATGATTTCGTTATGCCAATTGTTACATGTTGTGGGGCAAATACAAAAAAAGAGAAGGCATAATTTCAGCTTCAAAGAAAGTCCAACTTTCTTAGAGGTAAAGGTAAAGTTCATTGTGGTGAACTTTTACCATAGTGAGGTAAAAGTTCATTGACTTGTTGATTCATTCATTCCACAAATATTCACTAAGTGAGTGTCTCATGTCATGCACTCTCTAAGGCACTAACGCCATGAAGGTGAACATGGTAAACGGGCTTCGCCCTCTCTGAGTTTATAGTCAAAAAGGACAGATAGACATTAAATGCATAATTATACAAATAATCACAATAGTGGTGAACACTACAAGGGTGAAGTACAAGATGTTCTGTGAAACTTGACCTTGTCTAGGGGCACAGACAATACATCCTAGGAAACTCAGACAAGTTTAAGATAAACAAACATGGACATTGATTAGTCTTCTACAGGGAGGTCTAGTTACACAAAGTGATGGTCCTCTGACAACTCTGAAATCAACGCATTCAATGCAAACAAAGATTATTATTGTCTTCTGGAAAAGTTTCCAGATCTCATTAGGGAAAAATGAACCCAATATTTGTTCTTAACATATAATTACTTCAAACTATGGTTAAACTCACAGAAAGCTGGAAAGTCAGAAAGTTTTCTGACATCTGTCTTCTAATGATGCTTTTCACTTTCAGATTAAACAAATTCTGCTATAATGAAAGAAGATGAAGAGGGACCATCATCTCTATGGGAGGCCACCATGTCTCGCCTTCCATAATAAGCTATTACAATACTTTGGACCCATATCCATAATGCCAAAGGACCAATTATTACTAGAATCTTAATTCTGGGAACAAGATAGGTAAAGAAAAATGCATCACGTTCAAGCAAAAATACACTCATCAAACTGACACCTCACAGGCACATCAAACAAAACACTAAACTACACCCCAGGATTCCAAGATGAATACTAATTTTCTAAAGTAAATTAGGTAACCTTCAGGACACAGAACCATCTTTCCTGACATCAGTTTAGAGCTCTAAAAAATAAAAAACAAATTGAAAAGCCCCCAATGTATATTCTTACACATATTTGCTCACAGGATGGTGTATAACTAGATTAATTGTGAGTATATGTCCCCTGGGGGTAGAATTAGCCTTTTTGGATCCCTAGTCTAAAATCTAGAACTAGTGGGGAGAAAAGCAAATGTCAGGCAAAACCCCCATTATCATATGTAAATTACAGAATGAGTGATTTCCTGTCAACAAAATGAATTCTGTATGTTGTTTTGGAAGTGGCACCTTATTAAACACACAAGTCATTTTCATAATTAAACAAGGGCAAATGCAGAGGAAAGAAGCCATTTAAAATGGCATCTTGGTTTTCAGAGGGAAAAAAGTGGGTCCAAATAAACCACAGCAACATATGAATAACCATCAAGCCCTGCTGTATGGTTAAAGTCTGAGACTATCGTCAAGATGTTTGCATTGGAATCCTGGCTTTGCTTCTTCTAAACCAGACACCTTGAGCAAGCCACTTCTTGTTTCTAAGCCTCAGTTTCCTCATTTGAAAACAGAGGATAAACTTACTGTGATGGGAAGCATATGAAATTCATAGCATGACACCTGGCACTAGTGTTACCTGTTTTTAGTATTCTTAAAATCATCTTTGTATTTCTTTTTTTGTTGTTTTGTTTTTTTCTGTTTTTTTTTTTTTTTTTTTTGAGATGGAGTCTCGCTCTGTTGCCCAGACTGGAGTGCAGTGGCGAGATCATGGCTCACTGCAAGCTCTGCCTCCTGGGTTCATGCCATTCTCCTGCCTCAGCCTCCCGAGTAGCTGGGATGACAGGTGCCCGCCACCATGCCCGGCTAAATTTTTGTATTTTTAGTAGAGACGGGGTTTCACCATGTTAGCCAGGATGGTCTCGATCTCCTGACCTCGTGATCCACCTGCCTCAGCCTCCCAAAGTGCTGGGATTACAGGCATGAGCCACCATGCCCAGCCTCATCTTTGTATTTCTTTATTATTGCTGCCAAGAAAAAAACAGAGGAATTACCAAGAACTTTCACAAGTTCAGGATGGAGGCTGAAGTGGAATAAACCACAAGGTGAATGAAAGGAGAAAAAAATAAAAATAATCAGAACACTGGGTACACTCTGTGCCCTCTCTCTCCTTCAATTAACAAGTAAGCCATACTCAGTCCATGCAGAAGCCAAATTGTTTACATATGACATTCAAATGAGCAGCCTGGCCTGGGTTTAAATGAAAATGTACTCATCTAAATTAGGGAGCAGCAAACTTTCCATAAAATGCCAGACAGTAATTATTTTAGGCTTTGCAGACCATACGGTCTCTGTAGCAACTACTTGATTCTGCCACTTTGTGTGAATGCAGCTATGGACAATATGCAACCAAATGGCCATGGCCGCGTTCCAGTAAAACTGTATTGGGACAGGTGTGGTTTACCAATCACTGATCTAAATAGAAGTTTGAGAGGTCAGTATGACAGATATGTTTGTTTGTTTGTATGTTCTAATGATGTTTCTCTTTTTTATTGTATCAATTTAAGTTGTGCAATATGATGTTTTGATATGCATATAAGTACTGATTATTATAGTCAAACAAATTAACATAGCCATCATCTCACATAGTCACCTCTTTTTTTGTGTCAACAGTACCTAAAATCCCCTCTTAGCAAATTTCCAGTATACGATATTATTAACTATAGTCCTCATACTATACATTAGATTTCTAGACTTATTTACCACACATAACTACAACTTTACACATTATGACCTACATCTCTATTCTGCCCCAACTCCCTGCCCCTGGTAATCACTATTCTGCTGGTAGACAGGTTTTGTTCATTGTTTTCCTAACCAATGTTTCTGTCCACTTCCTGAAGTTCCACCTTCAGTTGTGAGCAGGGCATGGATGGTAGACCAGAGACGGGTGCTGGAGGAGCCAAGAAGACCCTGTTTCAAAGGAGGTACACCTACCCATGCCTAGCACATACTGGGAATTCAATACATATGTCCACGATGTTTTATTTCTTGAAAAGGGAACTAAAGGGTAACAAAGTGAGATTGAAAATAATATACAAATATAAATTTAACATAGTAAAATGTCAACATGTGTGAAGCCTGGGAAGTGGAAACGCAAATGTTGGTTATCTGTGCTTCTGAGACTACCAGGGTTTTTAATTTCCATATTGCTACAGAAGGATATTTATGTATATTTAGCAGAAACATCACAGCATTGGTCAATTGCTACAAAAACGTCTAAAGTTTTACTCTCATTTTCTGTTCTTGCCTTCCTCTGGACTGATAATGGTTTTACCGTGGTACCAGTCCACAGACCACACTTTGGGCACTGCTTATATTATTTTTTCCTTATGTTTGAAATATAGCACAATTAACATCTTAAAAATAAAATCAGAACGGAGAAGAGGAGTCAAATGTGGAATCCTAAAATTCAAAGGTCATGAAACCAACTGCAGAAACGCCAAACTAAAGGGCTTTGTGTCTTTACAGATTACTTCATTCAAGAGGTATCTATTGAGGGCCCACTGGGTATCCATTCCTGTGCCAGGGTTCAGGACAGTGAGCAAGCCACAGTGGCAGCCCTTGGGGAGCCTTCAGTTAGTGGGGAACTTTTCAGCCTTGACACTACCGACATTTGGGGCTGCCTTGTTCTTCCTTGTCAAGGTTCCTTGTGCACTGTAAGATGTTCAGCAGTATCTTTGACCTAAACCCACTAGGTCAGTAGTCAGTAGTAGTACCTCCCCGAGTTGTGATGGCCAAAAATGTCTCCAGACATTGCCAGATGTCCCCTAGGGATCAAAAGCAACCCCACTGTGAACCACTGACCTATAGCAAAGGAATGATAGTTACAGTTAATAACAACTATAATATGTCAAGTCGTGTTGACAGATAGGGCTTTAACCCAAAAATGTTAAATCCTCATGAAGAAATAATATGTTCATTATGAAACATATATCTCAACTAAGTGATACTTATGATCATTACAAATGGTAGGCTACATTCATACTGCTCCATGCCATTGCAACAGTTCCCAACTACTATTGCAATGGGCTTCAGTGCTGAACAAATTGTCACCTAGGATATTTCACAGAATGCTCATAACAGGTTCGCCAAGAAATTATTACAGTATGTATTTCATGAAAAACAAAACAAGAGATCCAGAAAAAATAAGCCACTTGCATAACGTGGCCCAGGTAGACACTATACTCAGGTTTACTGTCTCTGAGTCTAGTAACATCATTACTACCACCAATAACAATAAAGGCTAATAGCGCTTATTCAGAGAATATGTATATGTATAAGCTATTGTTCTCAGATCATAATCTCATTTAATGCTCGTAACAACCCTACAAGGTAGCTTCTGATATTGCCACATTTTACAGACGAAAAAACTCTGGCCAAGATAAATTAAATAACTTATCCAAGTGGCAAAGGGGAGGAATTTGAACTCGACCACACCAGTGGTTTCTCATTCCAGTTTCTGTGGAGAAAAATAGTCAATCTTCACTATTAACAGATTCCATATTTGCATATTTGCCTACTCACTGAATTTTATTTGAAACCTCAAAATCAATACTCACAGCACTTTCACGACATTTTATGGGCATGTACAGAGCAGTGAAAAATTGTAGTTGCCCAATGAGTATGTTTCCAGTGGAGATCAAACAAGACCATGGCCTGTCCTTCTGTTTCAGGTCTCACACTGTGAACAAATGTGCTTTTTACAGTCTATTTAGTGCCATTCTTTCACATTTTTGTGCTTTTTGATGGTAATTTCTCTGTTTAAAATGACCTCCAATTGTAGTGCTGAAGTCTATATAGTGTTTCTAAGTGCAAGAAGGCTGTATATGGCCTATATTTTTGCTTCCAAGCAACAACTGCCCTAAACCATTAAAAAAATTCAAACATCTTCCATGTGGTCTTGAAAAAGTAACCCCACCCAAAATTCTAGCCAGAAGTCTACCTGCTGAGGCAGAAGAGCCTTTGAGTACTAATCATAGATACACTGACTCATGCTATCAATCTAAAGCAAGTGTTCACCCTTGACTCCCTGTCACACTCAGCAAATTTCCTACCTCTTTAAAACTTACCAGCCTTACAGAGAAAATGGTGTGCTGGATATGCTTCATTCAGGCATGAGTTACAGGGCTCTTAGCTGTGAATTCGGTGTTAATGAATCCACAATAATATATGTCCAGAAAAAGAAAACGGAAATTGGCTGATCTGAGGCCAAGCCACAGATTGCCAAGGTAACATCTATAGTGCATGATGAGGCTATGGAAAAGATGGAAAACAGGCTAAATTTGTGGATTTGTGAGAAGAAAAATTTGAAAAAACATAGTGAACAGCATTGCTGTAAAGGATCAGGAAAGTGTTCAACCCTTCTCAGTGACATCTTATTATAAAGAAATACTGCATATGTGATTTGAAAGAAATGAACATTAAAGTGTCATTAAACAGAAATACAAGTAAGATACAATTATGTATTGATCAGTTGATGAAAATGTGACCAGAAGTTCACAGGAACCTAATCCTGTATTTCCCTTAGCAGATCAGTATTTGCTAATTAAGTGTTCATGGTGACCTTATACAACATAACTACACACAGACACAAAAACAAGAACTGACAGTATGTGGATCACTCTTGGAACATTTCCTGGGCTTTCCCCTCAAAGTTCCTAAATTTCAACAGCGGGGCCCAGAAATCTAAATGTTTTAAAGGCTCCTCATCCACAGACCCATGTTTATGAACCACTGTGATACATCATGCTAACAAAACCAACAAAAATCTTTAAAAAAACTATTCTTCCTACTTTTGATAAATCTGTATACCATAGAGCGCCTTACAGTTACAGAGGGCTCATGCTGTGAAATTGTTTGGCTTATATCCTTGCTTCCAGGCCACAACTTTTTTAAACCATTAAGGAAAAAAAAATTCAAACACTTTCCATATGGTCACTGAAAAAGTAACTCCACCCAGAACTCTAGCCAGAAGTCTACCTGCTGAGTTAGGAGCCCTTCAGTACTAATCACAGATACACTGACTCATGTTGATCAGTCCAGAGCAGGGATTCACCATCAACTCCCTGTTACTCTCGGCAAATTTCCCACCTCTTTAAAACTTTCCATGTGTGTGTGTGCATTCACAATGTACTATTATCTTAGTAGCCAGGGCACTGTACAAAGAGCATTAAAAGATAATCAGAGATACTATAAATAGTGATTTGGAAATATACTTCCTTAAGAGAATGATGACAAGACTCATGCTCAGGATAGATTTTTATGGCCATCCCCAGATGTCCAACAATCTTTCTCTCCAGTATAGAATTCTCCAAAGGCTATTCCACTGAACACAAGTCAGAGAGAATGCTTTGAGACTAAAAAATTCCAAGGCAGGTGAGTTTGGAAAATGCTGCTTATTATAAAACCTTATAGACATTCAATCACATATTAGCATAGTAAAAGCTCTGAGAAGCCCTGAAGGGAAGATAGGAATGACACATGTCTAAACTATGTTTCAGTGAGCAATTCCCAAACTGATTTGACCATGCGTTTCCTTTACAAACCTATAAGTTCCAGGAAACAATGCTGAGAAGTGTTATTTTATTATCCTGCTGGTGGAGGCCATAGAAAAAGATGAAACAACCTCCCCCTCATGGCCATCTCCACATTCTGATGAAAATTCCTTACCCTTATTTCTCCAGTGCAAGGATTCATCACAGATCAATCACGGAGACAGCTTTGGACTCTTCCAGAAATTCCACAGCTGCACCCTTTGCTCATGACCACAGGCAAGGTCCACCATTAGGGGGAGATGAGCGCTGCGCTTCAATACCCTTTCCTCCATGAAAACATCCATCCCAAACTAGATGAAGCCTTCAGACATACCTACAATTATCCCACTGGGAAAGATGAGCATGAGAAAAACAATGGTCTCCTGCAAGATAAACAGCAGTGTCCTATTTGTTCGCAGTGAGTGAAAATGGCATTCCTTCTGCCCGGAATGAGAACAGAGGAAAAAAGGTGTTCAAATTATAGACACTTTCATTTTCAAAAATCATTTATCTAAATTATTTGATGCCATGAGGAAGGCTCCCATGAAGAAGGGGCAATGGGCTAGGCCTTCAGGGACAATTCAAAATTGGGAAAGTAGGACTACAGTATGTGGGTATCAGAGATGGGTGGACCAGCATGGGAGGGGAGGTTTCAAAATGATTTAAATAGCATGAACGAATATAATACAGAACACAGTTTGGTTCATCAGAATTCCACGGTGGCCGATTCCTGGGAGAAAAGCAGCCAGAAGGTAAAACTTAATTATACTTTCCAAGGCCATCAGAGATGCTACCGCATGAGAAGTGTGATGTGTGTTTTGCACAGACTGGGGAAGGAATGCCTGCGTGTGTGGGACAAGTGAGAGCACCAGGAGGAATGACTGTGTTCTCAGGATGAATTCTATACTCTTAAAGAAGAAACCAATTGAATTTTATTTTATTATTTTATGAGACAGGATCTCATTTTTTCACCCGGGCTGGTGCACAGTGGTGCAATCATGGCTCCGTGCAGCCTCAACCTCCTGGGCTCAAGTGATCCTCCCTCCTCAGCCTCCTGAGTAGCTAGGACTACACCAACACACTCAGCTAATATTTGCATTTTTTGTAGCAATGGTGTTCTGCCATGTTGCCCAGGCTGGTCTCGAACTCCTGGGCACAAGTAATCCACCCACCTTGGCCTCCCAAAGTGCTGGGATTACAGGCATGACCCACCGCACCCAGCCAAGAAGAAACCAATTTTTTTTAACACTCCCACCTGCAGCTGGACATGTGTATGGCACAGTGCAAGGGATTTTCATCAAGTATAGCTACGTACTAAGAGTTTGCTCCCTGTGTAATGTTTCTGTTAATTTAATGAAAACGTAAATTAGTAACATCAGGTTTTTCTGAGAGATAATAGTATAATGTTGAGATTCAGACCATGAACTCCAAACCCAGGCTGCTTAGGTTCTCATCCTAACTCTGTCACTAACAGGCCATGTGACCTTGGGCTAGGCATTTAAACTCTTTGTGCCTCAGTTTTTCCATCTGCAAGATGGGGATGACAATAATACCACTACACCAGAAGGGTTGACGTGAGGTTTAAATGAACGAATACACTTAATAAGGCACTTAGCATAGTACCTGGCACACAAGTGCTATTAAATAGTTGTGCACTGGAGTAAGCTTATACTGGCTCATGAGAGTCAAATGTTAGCACCTCTTCCTACCTTCGTACTCAGAGACATCAGTCATCCCCTGCCAGAGCCAGGTGTTAAACATTTATCAGCATACCACATAAACATCATATTTTCAAAAAGTTTGTGTAAAAATGGAATTAAAAGATAAAAATTAAAAATATAAACTTTATTTCTCAACGCAAGCTCCAACCAGTTCAAAACTCTCTTGTGAGTGATGAACCAGCCATTTAGTCCTTTTTTTTCTTTTTTTTTTTTTTTTTTTTTTGACACGGAGTCTCACTCTGTCGCCCAGGCTGGAGTGCAGTGGTGCAATCTCAGCTCACTGCAACCTCTGCCCCCTAGGTTCAATTGATTCTGCTGCCTCAGCCTCCTAAGTAGCTGGGGTTACAGGCGTGCTGTAATTTTTGTACTTTTAGTAGAGACGGGGTTTCACCATCTTGGCCAGGTTGGTCTTGAACTCCTGACCTTGTGATCCACCTGCCTCGACCTCCCAAAGAGCTGGGATTACAGGTGTGAGCCACTGTGCCCAGCCGCCATTTAGTCCATTCTTAAAGAACTGAAGGTCCTGGGAATTTAACCATGTCAATGTTGTCTTTTTTTACATTATCTTTATTTATTTGTTTATTTTCTTGAGATGGAGTCTCGCTCTGTTGCCCAGGCTGGAGTGCAGTGCAGGGGCACAATCTCGGCTCACTGCAACCTCCACCTCCCAGGTTCAAGCAATTCTCTACCTCAGCCTCCTGAGTAGCTGGGATTACAGGTGCCTGCCACCAAGCCTGGCTAATTTTTGTATTTTTAGTAGAGACAGGGTTTCACCATCTTGGCCAGGCTGGACTTGAAATCCTGACCCTGTGAGCCATTGCACCCAGCCTTTTTTACATTTTTAACTGAAGAAAAAAATGGGTGTCCCTTACAGACTTTTTAAGATTAGAAAACAAAAAGAAGTCACAAGGAGCCAAATCAGGACTGTAAAGTTGACTCATGATTTCCCATTGAAACTCTTGCAAAATTGCTCTTGTTTGATGAGAGGAATGAGCAGGAAGGAACACTGTCATGGTGGAGAAGGACTCTTTGGTCAAGTTTTCCCTGGCATTTTTCTGTTAAAGCTTTGATTAACTTTCTCAAAGCACTCTCATAATAAGCAGATGTTATCATCCTTTGGTCCTCCAGAAAGTCGACAAGCAGAATGTCTTGAAGAGTCCAAATAACTGTTGTCAAGACCTTTGCTCTCGACCAGTCTGCTTTTGCTTTGACTAAACCACTTCCACCGCTTAGTAGCCATTGCTTTGATTGTGTTTTGTCTTCGGGATTCTACTGATAAAGCCATGTTTCATTTCCTGTTACAATTCTTCAAAGAAATGCTTCAGGATCTTGATCCCACTTGTTTAAAATTGCAGTTGAAAGCTCTGCTCTTGTCTGCAGCTGATCTAGGTGCAATGGTTTTGGCACCTATCCAGTGGAAAGTTTGCTCAACTTTAGTTTTTCAGCCAGAATTGTGTAAGCTGAACCAATTGAGATGCCTATGGTGTTGGTTATTATTTGTGCTGTTGTCGGTCCCTTTCAATTAGAGCACAAACAAGATCAATTTTTTTCCTTGCAAATTGATGTGGATGGTCTGCCACTGTGGGCTTCATCTTCAACATCATCTCATCTTTTCTTAAAATGAATTATCCATTTGTAAACTGTGGATTTCTCTGAGCCATTGCCCCCATAAACTTTTGGTAAAGCATCAGTGATTTCACCACAAATTTGATATTTGTTCTTGTTTCGATTTTAGCAGAATTCATGTTGCTCGATTAGAAGTTCTTTTCAAACTGATGTCTCATCATTCTTAGTACCTGAAACTAGATCCTGTTCAGCTACTTTATAACAAGTTAGTATGAGTTTCTTGTGGGGAAAAAACATTGAAATCCATGTATAGTTGTATCCTATTGTGTACTTTCCAGGAACTTTTTGAAGACTCCTCATATATATGCATATACATACATATGTATACATACACACATATATAACACATATGCCATGTGTGTATATATATATATACACATAAGTGCTTGGCTTCATTATTGCCAACATTGAAGTTTTTTTTAATATGGCTCAAGCAGAATCTGAGTTATTTGAATTCCTGGCTTTTATGTAGGTTTCATGAAAATTTAGAGGTTGCTCTCAAATCCTCAACCCCAAAATAATTATTTATAGAGTACCATCAATATGTCTGACATAGCCATAGACATTATGGACTACAGAAGAATTATAACAAAGGTCTTTACCTGCAATGAGTTTACAATCTTGCTAAGATTTTTTGCAAAGCTAATGAACCACATAGTTGGTACGTGTTTCTTTCTCTGGGATCATGTTTGGTACCCATGGAGCTTATCCACTGTTCATCTCTTCCCCGGGAACCTCAGTGGTCTCCATAGTTAATGCAGATAAATATAGCCCTTGCCCTGAAACTGGGCAAATTTGCTACTTATCACTCTTACTAGATATAAACAGAAAAATAGCCAAGGTAAACAGGCACATATACAACCACATTCATATTCTTTAATTAAGTAAAAACCAACAAGCATGTATTAAGCCTCTAGAATGTACCAAAGTGCTTTATGTAACTTTCTCCTGTTGGGAGCTATTCATTCACTGTTTTTAGCTGTTTTATGATGTAAAATAACTGAAACTCATGAATTGTAATGATGTTAATATTTATCATAATACCTAATGCTTATTGAGAATGTAGAATCAGCCATGCAATTCTTCTAAGCACTTTACATTACTCCTCACCACAACCCTGTGAAGTAAAACTGTTAATATCCCCATTTTACAGATGAGACAACTGAGCTTCAAGAGACTGATTATGTTGCCTAGTACTACAGAGCTGGTAAGAGCTAAAATTTGAACCGGGATTTGGCACTCTAGAGCCAATGCTATGAATCACTGTAAAGCAGGTGTTTCTCAATCTTGGCACTACTGGCATTTGGGGCTGGATAAATCTTTGCTCTGCATTGCTATGCACTGTAGGATGTGCAGCAGTATCCTCGGCTCTTACTGACTAGATACCAGGAGCAATCGACATTTGTGACAATTAAAAATGTCTCCCATAGGAACCAACTCACCCAAATGAGCTGGCCAAATGCCCCCTGCAATTCAAAACTGCCACCGGTTGAAAACCACTGCTATAAATTAAAAGAAAGAAAGTAGGGAATTCCTAAACCTGGCTACATATTAGAAATGCCTAGGGTATATTTTTAATGGGTTAAAAATGCAGATAGCAAGTCTTATCACTGATTCAGAGAATCAGAGTGTCAAGGGGTCCCATAGAATAGTCCATCATTTGTCACCAATTAGTTATGTCATCTTGAGAAAGTTACTTGCCCTCTCTGTGCCTCAATTTCTTTATCTAGCTACTGAGTGGGCAAAGCTAGACTGTGTGTCAAACCTTTCCATGGCTAACAATCCAGTCTGTGAAATCACTCAGATACCCATCACTTCCCTCCTTGACAGGCTTCTATTCACACTGCACAGAGAGGGTGTAATGACCAAAAAAAGTTCCTACAACTCCAATCCTCATAAGGAAATCCTCATAAGGAAATCTGGCCAAAAGCTGACCCGTGATAGACTTACAATCAGTTCACCATAGATACAAAATTGGGCACAATTATCACTACAAAAAGGTTAGTTTCCACTTCACACACCTGAGGTAGGTAAAAACTGAATCCCAAATTGGAGATGCAATTTTCCCATTATGCAAAGTGGTTGCTGCATTCCTGGGTGGAAAAAAAAATCCCCAAACCAGTATTGCCAAAACTGAATTTACTAGAAACCTTGACTCCAAATGACACTGGGGAGTGTGCTCCTCTTTTCAGATTCATGAAATGCTTTCATGTCATTTAAGAAGCAAAATGCAAAAGAAAAAAGTGGGCATTGTCTACACTTCAGACATGGAGGCTTTAGTCTGACAATCCCAGATCCTATCTCCAACTCAAAACAAATCTGTTCCATGGCAAGAAAGTACTTTAGAGAATTAGTCTTTGCTGTATTTGTATATGCTAATTAAGCTCCAAAGGAGAAACTGCTGATGATAAATCGCTGACAAAGAAGCCATTTTTAAAAAATTTTACTAATTTATAGATATATCAGATTATATCGGTTTAGGTCACACTTACTTTATATACCCATGTGTAAAAATAGGATGAAAATGATTACATTTGAAAGTGCCTGGGGTTGTTAAAGTAAAAATAGGAACAATCTTCATTGAAGAGGGGGAAAAACATCCTTAAAAGGATACTGAATAGAAGGGTGTCTGTAAGGCACGGAGAAGAAGGAGAAAATGTCCTGGATTATGAAACCACAATAGAATTCTGCTCAGAAATTGCATGTTATCAATTCAGTTGATCAGATACCAATAAATCCATTTACTAGAAACTGATTTCGGAGGAAACAGACTTGTAACTATAATTCAAATTCATTCCTTTAAAGCACGTACTACCAGTGCACTCTATCAAGGGTGGGCCCTAACCACTATTAAAGTGTTAAAAGAAATTATTTCAATTCTTTATGAGTATAAAATTATAGTAGAAGGGAATCAATTAATCTTAGGTGATATGCCACCAGGCCATAATCAAGTATGATAAATTGCTTTCTTCTATCCTAGTTTCTCAATGTATGTGTTATGACAGGTTCTGCGAAGGTGAGTATTAAAAAATATTTGTTCCCAACTCAAAAGGGCATCACATAAATGACCGCCAGCGCCATCTGTCGGTGGTACACAGAGCTGTTGCACTTGTGCCTGGGCTTGCGAGTTTTTGTTCACCTAAATTAAGATTCGATGACTGAAGTTTTACATGAGGGACAGCATCCGTACACTACTCTAAGTGGTGTAGTGCAGAAGCTCTTAAACATTTCTCCTAATGTTTATACCCTTTTACATGGCCAGACACTGAATGAATTTCTTCTAATGATCTGGAGGTGAAGCCTAAAATAACTGCCTCAAATTTCCTGATGTCTTAGTTTATCTTAAACTTTTATATGAATCTTGTGCTGTATACCAGAGTAACCTGTGTCTGTTTTTTTACGTAAAAACATGTATAAAATATTTATAGTTCAACTACTTAACTTGTATGACCAAATATTCGGGTTAAATAGATAATTTGTTGAGGTGTACCATATTTAGCCCCTGGGGCATATTACCTTGGATACCTACATCCTCCAGAGATACTCCTACTCCAATTTGAGAAAAAGTAGGAACTCAGCTCTGCCACAGCCTGCTGTGTGCCCACACTGAGCCTCAGTTTCGTTATCTGTGAGGTAAGGACCATGGACAGGATCTCTAAGGGTGCTTCCAGCTCTGACATTCTCTGAAACAACAGTCATTTGGATCTTCAGACACAAACACCTCACTCATCTCACTACTGGTGAGCCCTGCGTGCACATTCCTATAACATGTGGGCACAGAGATTTGTAAATTATATTATTGTATGTCTAGTTCAATAAATATTATAAATAGGCGTTTCCTATTTCACCTATAGTCCTAAAAGCTTATCTACTCAAGTTGGCAAAACAAAAGCATTTTCTCCCTCATTCTTCTCATTAGCTAAATGGAGGAATGCCTTCTATTAGAGTCACCTCGTATTTAAGCATACACAGCTGGGCGTGTGGCATGTGCCTGTAGTCCCAGCTACTCCGGAGGCTGAGGTTGGAGACTCTCTTGGGCCCAGGGGTTCAGGACCAGCCTGGGGAACACAGCGAGACTCCATCTCAAAAAATACTAATAATTTAAGCTTATACGACAGCTCAATAAGGTTAGGTCTAGTGTTCAAGAATGCAACAGGAGATGACATTAAAGATATAAGCAATGACCATAACAAAAGAGCTCTTAAAAATGATGTTAAGTAGCTAAGATTTCTGCATGTTATGGCCTGTGGATTTTGGATGTTGGACAAGCCCAACAAGACAATACACAAGCACAGAGAAGCCGATCTCAGCCCTATCAGCATGAGACCTTTGGTTAAGATTCTTGCCAAAGCTGAAGAATTCAAGCCCTCAAATGTATTTTCAAGAACCAGTCATTTTATTTCTCCCCTAGGATCACAGACCTTCCCAAGCCCATGAGGTGCCTGTGAAACTCCACATATGGGAACTATATTTTTAGGAAAGGGGCCAAGGTGTCAGAGGCTATGCATCACAAGAACAACCCCTTCTTTCTCTTTTACTAACTAACACAGTTTGGCTTTCCCTCGTTTCTAGCAGCAGTTAATTCCAAGGCTTTATGTTCTCAGACAGTTTCAACACTGCCTTTCCCTTCAGAGTCATCACCAAAATAAATTTTAAAAAATTCCAGTGCGCCCTTCACTTTTTCAGTATTCCCACTCCTGCTGGCCCCAGGTGTTCTCTGGTTTGAAGGTTGCCCACTATGCAACCCGCTGTATAATTCAGAACCTGGTGCACTTCCCAGGCACATCAGTAGTCTAAATTTGTACTACAGCAAAAGCTTCAAGGGCTTAATCAATTACAGATCAAATATTTAAAAATGAGGATTAATCTCATCACTGCAGCCCAACAGATGCATTTTGTGTTAATAAATACACTTCAAACTTCCTGTAGACACTGAAAAATGCATTCCCAATTTGCCTTTGCTCCTGGTTCCCAACAGACAGGAGAGAGGGCTCCATTGATATTCCAGAGCTGCACTTTCCAAGTGTTCATGGGGCTGGCTCTGCTGTATCTCGTAAGATAAAGGAATCAGAAATTAGAGGAGGAGAAACATTCTGACCAGATGCTCTCTGATCTCCCCAACAAAACTTCAACCACACTGTCAGTCTCAATCACAATGTGTGGGCACTGAGATTCATGAGGCCAAATGAAAATAAAATTATGATATTCATTTACGTGGGTGATGGAAGGGTGGATGAAAAGCTCCATATGTTCGGAGTTTCAAGTATAATTTGAAACAGCAACATATCAGCCTTAAAAACAGAACCTCCATGGCCTCCAAATTTCAAGAATAGTAGAAGATGCTTGCCTAGAATAAATCAATTTGGAAAGCTGCAGTCATCAATCTCAAAGTAATTTCTGCCAAAGTATAAATGGTGATTTAAAAACGGGGGAAATGCCAGAAAAATACCACTTGAAAGTTTTATTAATAGTACATTACAGAACACAGAAAAAATTATTTATTAGAGAACTTGTGAAGAATACACAGAGAAAAACTCACATGAATTCACAAAACGGGGCAGCACAATGAATTCACCAGTGTATTAAAAGCAGAACAAAAAAATAAACCCATCACAGACCAAGTAGGTCTTAATTCAAAAATTCAAGGAGCCATCTAATGAGGTGGCTCATTACAGTGTCACAGCGGCACATGTACCTCTAGTTTATGAATTTCAACGATGTAAGCTAAAAACAAGACAAAATCAAACAACAACAATAACAAAACTGATAACAATTGTCTTTGATAATAGATGGCTCTAGAACACAAGCCAACCACTTCATATGGGTTCAACCAAAGAAACAACATTCTGTTCCAATACTGGAAAAAAACAATTGGGCTGAGCTGCTCTTACTGAGAAATGCTAGAGCACAAACAGGGATGATTTAATGGATTTTCAAAGATAATTATGGCAGGACTCAATTTTCACCTTGTTTGACGACTTTAAGCTACCCTATATATGTCAATAGTTTGGAGGAGAAAAACCACATGGTTATCTCAGCAAAGAATGTAAAGAAAGCATGTGATAAATTGAGTTCATATTTTTGACAAGCTTGTAGTAAAAGCACAAAGGCTATTTGTAGCATTATGTTTAACAGTAAATTTTGGAAAAACCCAAATATACATCTATATGGGCACAATTACAAAATTATGGTGTTTCTCTATACAGAGAAACTCTACATAACCATTAAAAAGAAATGAGACTTACGCACTCACACATGACAATGATGAGGATAGATGCAAACTGAAGGACAGGATGAAAACCTTAATCACATTTTCAAAAAAGCCATGACATGTACACACACGTGTCTCTATTTAAACAGCATGAAAATACATAGAGCAAATAATCATGACTGCAATAATCACGGTTAGTTCCAAGAAAAGTAATTGGAGCAGAGGCTTTTGGTTTATAAATTTCTGAATCCTCAGATTTTTTTTAAAAAACGTACTTCTTTTGTTAATTTAAAAAATAAATCTGGAGAATAAGGAAGAAAAACACTCCAATTAAAAATGCAGAATTGGACCAGGCCAGAAAGGTCATCTAGGAAAAGCTGTGTCCAGCATCTCCATCAAAGGAGAAACTACTCCTTTTTATTCATACTCAGGAAGGAGGTGGCAGAGTTCCTGGCTAATCCGGTCAATTGTTACACAAGCTAAGCAGTGCAAAAAATTCTACATTTTATCTACCCCCTTCTTCTCATTCTCAACTCCAAGCCCAATCCTTTTGTTCTTTTCTCAGGAGCTTTAGAAAACAGATGGTTACACCATCCTTTGAATCTGTCAATGAATCACACAAAATCAACAGTGTTTTTCTGGAGGGACACTATTGTGTTCAACAATACAGAACGACATATCCCAGTTTGCTCCCCACATACAAACATACCAGATTCCATTACCAATGAGCTATTCAAAGGGATTTTACCAGATGTACTTAATTTAATTCAACAATTATTAATTCAATGACTCCCGTGCTCTTGGTATTTTATTATGAGCTGTGCAGGACCCTTCGGAAATTTAAAATTTTATGGTGGAGAGGGACATACACGATGAGAAAGAGATAAACAATTCAGGGTAGTTTAAGATTAGGAGAACGTGCAGACATTATAGTTTTTGAAGCACTAGGAAAATCTTTAGAGTTCAGACTAGGCTAAATAAGGTGAGGAGATAAACATTTAGGATTTTTTTTAACTTTTCATTTTCTATTTTTAAACGTTATTTTGTATTGTTTGTTTGTTTACTTAAAAATATTTTGGGAGGGGATTTTTACTATTGGCCAGCTAGGGTCAAGGCAGGGGTATAGAGCAAGGTGGAGATGGGAAGACTAAGAGGCTTCTGCAGTCACTAAGGCACAAACGCCAAAGGCTGGGTTGAGGGTAGGAGCACAGTCATATCGAAGACTTGACCTGGCTCAATGACACACCGGCAAGGTTTGGATCTCAGTGACCAAAGGGGATTTTCATGTAACTGACAGATGCAATGAAGAAAAACACTGAGCAGAGTGCTTAAGGTATCAGAGAAGAATCTCAGCATGTGGAAACAGGAAGGTAGTTAAAAGTCAACACTGGACCCAGACTTATGATTTAAGAGAGAGAATCATCACTTTGTGTTCCTTCACTCTCCACACCTCACAGCTTTCTGCAGTTAGTATGGGAGTTTGGTGGGAACCTCTGCACTTTCTCCCACTCTTTCGTATCCACGTCAAAGGTCAAACTCTTCATATGCCAAAAGAGGCACCTTGGCCGAACCCCAATCCACAAAGGAATGCACTAAATCACTGGAAGTGCTGCACATGAAGACAAAAATCCAACACCATATTAATCATTGGCAGGTTGTATTTCCTGTCCCTTGAAAAGTTAGCCACTTCACTGTTCACAAAAGCAAAGACTTGGAACCAACCCAAATGCCCATCAGTGATAGACTGGATAAAGACAATGTGGCACATATACACCATGGAATGCTATGCAGCCATACAAAAGGATGAGTTCATGTCCTTTGCAGGGACATGGATGAAGCTGGAAGCCATCATTTTCAGCTAATTAACACAGGAACAGAAAACCAAACACCGCATGTTCTCGCTCATAAGTGGGAGTTGAACAATGAGAACACATGGATACAGGTGGGGAACATCACACACCAGGGACCGTCAGAGGATGGGGAGCTAGGGGAGGGATAGCATTAGGAGAAATACCTAATGTAGATGACGGGTTGATGGGTACAGCAAACCACCATGGCATATGTATACCTATGTAACAAACCTGTATGTTCTGCACATGGATCCCATAACTTAAAGTATAATGATAAAAAAAGAAAACCTTTAAAAAATAAAATAAAAAGGTAAAAAAAAAATTAGCTGCTTATACAGCAAAGTGAGAGTAGTTTTGCATTTTTCTTAAGTATCTACTCTGCAAACCAAGAAATTAAATCAAGCTTTGTTGCTAACAAAACAAAAGAGCTACTTGGTATCAAGTAAAAACATAATGGGATTAAGGGAAACGTACATACAGATGTCCACTGGCCCTGAGTGGAGGGAACAGATCATGTCAGGGAATAGGTAACTGGCACTTCCTCAAGTCCATGCCACACTCCTGGAAGCATACTCATATCTGGTTAACTGACACTAACCCACAGCTTGCCTCACTGAGAGCAGGAAGCCCAGAGCCGTCCTTTCTTCTCTTTCCTTTTGCTCATCAGCACTGCTCTTTTCAAATTTTGTCAGCCTGTTGTGTTCACGCTCCTTGAACAAGAAAACTGTCATTTGGCGTGACATCTCTCTCCTACCCTGGAACTCAACAGGCTCCTGAAAACCTGCAAAATTCCAGACATACTTATTCTGTGAATTTTGAAAATCTCTTACTCATTTTAATGTATCCTTCTATGATGGTGATTTTCTATCCGCATTGACACCCAAATAAATAATTAAGAATCATCCCATCTTCCAACTTGAATAATGGGCGTAAATAGTGACAGAATCCTTTTTTACTTCCGTGTTCCACTTATTCAGGTTTTCCTCCTCAATCATGTTGTTTAATTTCTCGTCAGCTAAGCATATCTTTGGACAGACAAAGCAATTTTCCCCTACAGTGTGTCAATTCTGCAGTGAAGGTTTTCTGTTTACCTGCCTACTTCCTTAGCTCAAAAAAAAACAAAATAAAATAAAAGTCTCATACTCAACTGTCACACATACGCTTCATTTTCATTGTGTTTGATATATGAATTCCATACAGTGAGACAGGTCTTAAAATCCAGCACTCAGCGACTACTTCATCTCAGGACCACCCTTTTACAGACAGCCATGGTGATAAGAGCTATAGCTGACATTTCCTAAGGATTCTTTGATAAATTTCATCACTTCCTTAACTGCATTCCTATTGCTTAATCAAGATGCCCCTGGGGCCGGGCACGGTGGCTCACATCTGTAATCCCAGCACTTTGGGAGGCTGAGGCACAAGAATTCATTGAACCCAGAAGGCAGAAGTTGCAGTGAGCCAAGATCATGCCACTGCACTCCAGCCTAGGTGACAGAGCAAGACTCTGTCTCCGGAAAAAAAAAATAAAAAAGCCCATGGAAAGAAAGGCTATCAAGAAGAAAGGAGAACGGCAGTCCAGGGCACAGAAACACAGAACCAGATACAGGGAGCATCCTCAGGAGGTTCTGCACGCTGCCTGTGACTCAAGGCCCACGACTCTTGGTCGGCGGTTTTCAAACCCACTGTTTTCCAACAGGGGTGGGGGGAAATGTCACCAAAAATTGTGTTAATAATTGTTGCTGGTTTGCAAATTATTTTTATTTTTCCTATAAACTAGAATAAATCCAGGGCATGTTTATTTAAAACAGTACTCTCGGTCTTGCATGCCAATATGGCCTAGTTTCCATGAAGCTGGCTTGGGTGGTAGCAAAGACTAGGACTACTGTAGGACCAGGATATGGCCAAATAACTCGTATTTCAGGCTTACTTCTTAAGTGGGATGAAGGCATACAGGGTCCTTGCTTAGAGGGTAGAAAGATTAGTTCTCTCTCTCTTTGATCCCAAAGCTTTTTCCCTTCTAAGTATGGGGACAAGAAAGCTCAGACAGCATCCTATAGACAAAGGCCTTACCGCTCTCACTTTTTCCTTTGTACATTTTCTATTCTTCCATGACATTAGGTAGTATGGGTCTAGCATCTCCCTTGGATTCCAGTGCCCTACCCATCCTCACCTCAGCCTAGACCCATCAAGGGACAGCAGCCCTCAGCAGGTCTTCGACAAGCTATACGGCACCATCTCTGGCAGGTCATTCATTTCTTCCTTTTGATCTGTCTCTGATTTGAATATGATAAGACTATGGTGACCATACCATTTATCATTCAAACAGGAGAGCTCTTGTGAAGGAGAGCTTATTGACTGATCAATTGATTGATGTATTAATTTAAAGACAGTCTCTTGCTCTGTTGCCCAGGCTGGGGAGCAGTGGTGCATCACAGCTCACAGAATCTCAACCTCCTGGGCTCAAGTGATCCTCCTGCCTCAGTCTCCTGAGGAGCTGGGACTACAAGCACACACCACCGCACCTGGTTAATTTTTCTTTTCTAATTTTTAGTAGAGACAAGGTCTTGCTATGTTGTCCAGGCTGGTCTTGAACTCCTGAACTCAAGTGATCTTCCGGCCTCAGACTTCCAAAGTGCTAGGATTGCAGGAGTGAGCCTCAACACCCGGCCTGAGCCACCACACCCAGCCAGCACTTCAAATAATATAATAATGATATGATATGATATGATATGATATGATATGATATACTTTAATAATTATTAAAATCATAATAATGATAGCAATTATGGGACAACCAGGCACACATACTAGAATTATCCTCCCAGGCAAGTCGAGAAAATATAGTGTGAGTTTTTCTTGTAATGGGACGGAAAGATTCAGTATTTTAGTTTCGGAGTTGGGAAGATGAAGAATTGATTTTGGCCTACTTTAGATTTTAAGCCATTCTGGCAAAGGAGTTCTCCATAGGTCCACAGATCCAGACCTATTTAATCAATATCTATAGTGGGGCTTAGGGACAAAGCACCTACATTCTTGTATTTTGATTTATCATCTGTGCATTAGTGTCTCAGGGACTTTGAAAACAGGGCTTAGGTACTATTTTGTCTATTGGCTAAAATGCCATTATATTTACTTAAGCGCAACCACTTCATTATTTATAACACCAAGAATAATTCTAAATCCTTTCTCCCTGAATTTATTCCCTCTCTCTTCCAAAGACCTGGGTCTCATTTATAGACCACAATCTACAAACATCTGCCCCAAATAAGCTACGCCCATAATTCCATTTCTCACGAGAGTCCCTGGAAAGTAACAAAGCACCTAAATGAC
Source organism: Homo sapiens (assembly GCF_000001405.40). Classification (NCBI taxonomy): domain Eukaryota; kingdom Metazoa; phylum Chordata; class Mammalia; order Primates; family Hominidae; genus Homo; species Homo sapiens. The sequence goes on from NC_000003.12 coordinate 65,681,382, forward strand.
ACTGAAAGATAAAATCCTTATTTTATCCTATCATTATTTTAGAACGTGAGTTATATCATTTTTTTACTCTAAATGAACCACCCAAACATTTTTAAGAAAAAAGCACTTCATATGTTTATATATCCAACCGGGACAGACATTACAATTTACACTATCATTTTGCTGTCACACTGTTTAGAAACATTTTCCATAGAAGATAACCCCTGAAAACTTTCTGTATAAATAAATACTAGCAGACCCTCTGCACTTCTATTTATGTTCAAGTTTACTGAGACTCAGTGCAAAGCTATCTTGCTTTTAAACAAAGCACTCATAGATAACAAGTACTTTCCATATCTTCATCCCCATTCTCAATCATACAGCTAAATTTGAACAAAATGAAAAGAACTTAAGAATTAGATGCCCAAGTGAGTAGATGATACCAAAGCAGAACAAGTTCACAGCAAGATGTTTAATAAGAGTTTTGGCTTTTTTTGTTTTTTTGTTGTTTTTTTATTAATTAAAAGATGAGGTCTCGATAGGTTGCCCAGGCTGGTCTTGAACTTGTGACTTCAAGCTATCCTCCCACCTCAGCCTCCTGCATAGCTAGGATTACACACACATGCTACTTTGTCCAGCTGAGTTTGGCAGGTTTAAGGGGGCAAAAATAACATCATTCACATCCACAATTTTAACTTCTAGGGTTAGCTTTTAGCGTACTCAGAGGAAAAAAGAAAAAATTCCCTGGAAAAGGGGAATTTATTTCCTTTAGTAAAACAAAAACCCCTCTGGAGAGAAACCTAGAAAATGAATCCAAGATTCAAAAGTAGCATCAAGGGTGGGCATGCAAAGCCAGAAAAGGAGACCCAGTGACAACAAGCAGCCCAGCCCTTGACTAGCAAAAATACTCCCTACAAAGAAGGAAGTGGGAGGAATCACTCTGCCCAATTTTAAGGCTCATCATTTAACCATAGTAATCAAGACTGTGGTACTGGCAAAGGGAAAGAGACCTAGATCAAGGGAAGAAGAATGTAGAACCCAGAAATGTAGACCTAAAGTATGCCTGATTCTTGATAAAAGTTCAAAAAGCATTCAGCAAAGTAAGGATATAATCTTTAAACAAATGGAGCTACAGCAAGTGGCCATTCACAGGCCAAGAAAGGAGCATTGACCTGCCTCTCACACTTTACACTAAGTCAGTTGTGACCTTTATCTCTTACACCAAATTTACTTGGCATGGCTCATGCACCTAAATGTAAAATGTAAAACTATACAACTTTTAAGAAGAAACTTAAGAAAAAAATCTTTAGGATATAGGGCCAGAGAAAAAGTTACTAGGCATGACACCAAAAGCTTGATCCACTCAAGGAAAATTGAATCTAATCAAAATTTAAAACTTTCACTCTGTGAAAGCCCATGTGAAGAGAATGAAAAAGAACAGTAACAGGCAGAACACAGAGGATTTTCAGGGCAGTGAAAATACTGTGTATGACAGCGGTCCCCAAACTTTTTGGCACCAGGGACCGGTTTCATGGAAGATAATTTTTCCAACGGATGGGGACGGGGAAGGGGATGGTTTCGGGATGAAACTGTTCCACCTCAGATCATTAGGCATTAGATTCTCATAAAGAGTGCACATCCTAGATCCCCCACATGCACAGTTCACAATAAGGTTCACACTTTTATGAGAATCTAATGCCAATGCTGATCTGACAGAAGGCAGAGCTCAGGGAGTAATGCTTGCTTGCTGCTGCTCACCTCCAGCTGTGCAGCCCAGTTCCTAACAGGCCACAGACCAGTACCACTGTGTGGCCTGGGGGATGGGGACCCCTGGTATACAATGGTGGATACATGTCATTATAAATTTATCTAAACCCATAGAGCTATGTCGTTTATGTCATCAAGAGGTAACCCTAATGTACCCAATGGATTTTGGGTGATAATGATGTGTCAGTGTATGTTCTCCAACTGTAATGAAAGCATCACCCTCATGGGGGATGTTGATAATGTGGGAGGCTGTGCACGTACAGGGGTAGGGAGTATATGGGATACCTCCAGACATGTCTCTGAATTTTGCTGTGAACTTAAAACTGCTCTAAAAAAATAAAGCCTTATTAAAAAAAAGAAAAGAAAAAAAAGACAAGCTATAGGCTGAGAGAAAATACATGCAAATCACACAGGTGACAAAGAACAAGTATCTAGAACATATAAAGAATTCTCCAAAGTCAATATTGAAAACACAGATAATCCAATTAGAAAATGGGCAAAAGACCTGAAAAGACATCTGACTGAATAGGATATATATATATATATATATGTATGGCAAGCACATGAAAAGATGCTCAACATCATTCGGCATTAGGAAAGTGCAAATTTAAACCACAATGAGAGCACTTCACACCTATCAGAATGGATGAAATGAAAATATTGACGCCACCAAATGCTGGCAAGGATGTGAAAAATCTGGATTACACTCATACTGCTGGTGAGATGTAAAATAGTATAGCCACTCTGGCAAGTACTTTTATAAGAAAACTCACACTCATGTAACTGCAGCACTTTGGGAGGCCAAGAAAGGTGGATCACTTGAGCCCAGGAGTTTGATACCAGCCTGGGCAACCTAGAGAGAGCCCATGTCTACAAAAAAAAAAAAAAAAAATTTAATTATCCAGGATGGATGGCATACAGCTATAGTCCCAGCTACCTGGGAGGCTGGGGCAGGAGGATTGCTTGAGCCCAGAAATCTGAGGCTACAGTGAGCTATGATCATGCCGCTGGATTCCAGCCTGAGCAACAGAGACTGTCTCAAAAAAAAAAAAAAAAAAAGAAAAGAAAAGAAAAACTAAATATTCAACCTGCAACTGTACTCTTGGACATTTATCCCAGAAAAAGGAAAATTTAAATTAAAAAAAACAACTGCAACAACCACCAGTATGCCAGCATTCATAACAGCTTTATGTGTAATAGCTAAAAACTAGAATCAGCCAAGATGCCAAGATGTCCTTCAACAGGTAAGTGGTTAAACTGTGGTATACACATATCATGAAATACTACTCAGCAATAAAAATTATATATTCCATTAATATAAAATTTCTGATATGACCAACTTTCAGAAATTGAAGACGGATTAGTGGTTGTCAGGAATTTGAAGGGAGCCAGGGGAGAGATGGGTGTGGCTATAGAAGGGATTTTGGTGGTATTAGCACTGTTCAATATCTTGACTGTGGTTGTAGATACATGAACCTACATGGGTGAAAAAATTGTGTATAAATCTAAATACACACATACGCACAAAAAAGTATAAGTAAAACTGGGGAAATCTGACTACACTTGGTAGGATTTTTTTGGTTTTGTTTTTTGAGACAGAGTCCTCCTCTGTCACCCTGGCAAGAGTGCAGTGCCATGATCTCAGCTCACTGTAGCCTCAACCTCCCAGGCTCAAGCAATCCACTAACCTCAGCTTCTCAAGCATTTGAGACCACAGGTGCAAGCCACCACACCTGGCTAATTTTTTTTTTTTTTTTTTTTTTTTTTTTTGGTAGAGATGAGATTTTGCTATGTTGCTCAGGCTGGTCTCGAACTCCTGGGCTCAAGTGATCCACCAGCCTCAGCCTTCCAAACTGCTAGGATTACAGGCATGAGCCATCATGTTTGGCCTGGTAGACTGTATTAATGTCAATATCCTGATTGCAATATTATACTATAGTTTTCGGAAATTATACCACTGGAGGAAACCAAACTAAGTGTAGAAGGGCTCTCACTGTATTATTTTGTAAAACTGCCTATGAATCCACAATTATCTCAAAATTTTCCATTAATAAAAAAGTGCTGAAAATTAGTATCATTAAGATGCATACTGCATAACAGAAGTGAAAATACCAGCATACAAAAGTAGTGAAACTATTCTAATTTTGTTAAAATGTAAGCACATGCTTGTATATTTCTTCATTTAAAAAAAAAAAAAAGATTAGGAGAAAATTCCAGTTAATACTTGTCATTTCTGGGTGGTAGAATTACACATACCTTTATTTGCATTTTAACTTTTTCCTCAAATTTTAAACTTAGTTTTCAAACAGTCTCTAATGAATATATCGTTTTCATATTCCAGTGTTATAAAAACTGCTTGATATCAAAAGCAGAAAAATCCATCTCATATATATTTTGTATTACACACAATGTCAAAGAACGTAGCTTGTCTGGGGACTAAAATATTTTCAGTTAAGAAACTATCTGAGGTGGTCATGTTAATTTAGAAGTAGCAAATAAATACATCTTTTGATTCAATCAATAAAACTCACCCTACATATTGCTATTTTCATTTGATCATTTCCATCAGTTTCTATTTTAGTAAAAATAAGGCTTTCAGGAAAACTGAACTTCAGAGGAGTATGTTGCTCTGAATAACTGCTCTCTTGCCTTTCCAGTCCTGGAAGAATGCCAGTGGTCTCTGACACTCAAGGACTACTGAGAGAGACAGAAATTAAGCTGGAAAAACACAATTCAGTCTGTGGTTACTAGGAAGTTAGACACGTTTTCTTCCCCTGAAAATTATCTCCATTTGCTTCAGATTCTTCACAGGCCTCCACTTAACACCCTCTCGCAGCACGGTGCAAAACAAATCTGTCAGCTGCAAATATGGCCATAGAAACTTTTTCCCCAATTGCTAGGGAAACAAAGTGAACAGCAGAGAAAACACCTCCGGCAAGACTGTACGGCTCTGCTGTCATGTTCTGTGCAATAACTGTGACTCTCTACTTGATTTTCTTTGGCCCCTGGCTCTGGGGACAATTTGCTTCAACAAACTAGAAGCAGTCATATCACACCTATGAGTCATCTTATGGCCTGTTCCCATTCATTGGCCTTTGGATTTGGGGGTTCTCCATAGATGGTATCTCTCCTCTGGGCATTTTGGAAATCTGTAGGGGTGTTTTTTTGTTTGTTTGTTTGTTTTTTTGGCAGAGACTCGGTGTCACCAGGCTGGAGTGCAGTGGCACGATCTCGGCTCACTGCAACTTCCGCCTCCTGGATTCAAGCGATTCTCCTGCCTCAGCCTCCTGAGTAGCTGAGACTGCAGGCGCACACCACCAAGCCCAGCTAATTTTTTTTATTTTTAGTAGAGACAGGTTTTCACCGTGTTAGCCAGGATGGTCTCGATCTCCTGACCTCATGATACTCCCGCCTTGGCCTCCCAAAGTGCTGGGATTACAGGCATGAGCCATCGCACCCAGCCCTGTAGGGTTGTTTTCTAAATGCAGAGAGGAAGGGGATTGTTGCAGCAACTGGACACCAAAACTGGGATTTAACAGGCAGAATCTCTTAATGAATTATGCTATGGCATGCATGACTTAGGACTGTCTCAGTGGACAGGAAGTGAAACGCCAAGCATCTGAACCAAGAATCTTCCTTCATTTCACATAAAAACAAATGCACAGTATGTTTTTTATAGTTTTAATACACATCACACACTAAACCATGTAAATTTAGAGGAAACTGCTACTTTTTCTTTGTAACTTTACTAAGAGTTATCATTTTGGAATATTGAATCTCCAACAGCAAGGTCTTTCTGGTTTACGGTAGCCCATTCGATGAATCTGTAGCAGGTGCTTTTATAGCTGAAACATTCACAGTGATTCTATGTATAGGTGCAAGCATCTCACTACTTCATTAAGTCCTAAAAAGTCTTGCTACTCAAAACGTGGTCACGGAAGAGCAGTACTGACATCACTTGGGAGTTAATTAGAAATGAAGAATCTCCAGGCCTGGTGGCATGCACCTGAAATCCAAGCTATCTTGAGAGGCTGAGGCAGGAGGATCGCATGAGCCCAGGAGTTTAAGACCAGCCTGAATAACACAGCAAGATCCTGTCTCAAGATTTTAAAAGAGAGGGGGGCAGGGGAGGAAGGGGTGATTGATGCGGCTTCCATTTGGAATTTAAGGCACCACGAAGAGTGACAAAGGTCATGGTTGTGGTGGACACTTGGGCTCCAAAAGAGGCTCAGGAGGAGAGTTCAGGCCCTTTGTACCACATATCCCGTTTGATTTCTATTTGTGTGAAATGGCCCTCCCCTGGGTCAAGCCAACACCTGATGCAACTTCCTTCAGTGAGGCCTTCCTGAAGAGCAATCAGGACCCAGCTCCTGATTCTGCTGAGCAGGCCTCTTACTTTTCCCTGGTGACAAAAATAAACAATGTGATTGACAATCTGTGGCTCCAGGGACATCTGAAGTGCAAATTGAAGAAGTTGGATAGGTGGGATCCTATAAAAAGAGAATGGTCACTACAGGCCACAGTGCAGCTGCCCCGCTGGTAATACACAAGATTCTGCCAAGGCTGGAAGCTGTTGCTGCCCTGGGAAACAAAGTCGGGGGAAGCCTGAGAGCACAGGATCCTTCTGAAGTTTTGACCATGCCTACCATGCTGACGAAACTGGCTTGGAAATCAGTTCTTCTGATGCTACAGTGAAGACTGTCATTACAACAGTGCCACCCAGTCTTCCAAAACTGGACCCAGAACTCCGTTTGGATATCAAGGTATTGCAGGGTGCCTTAGCAGCCATTCGGCATGCCCGCTGGTTCAAGGAAAATGGCTCTCAGTTCACAGTTAAAGTTATCATCAGACTACTGAAGGACTTGAGGGTTTCGTTTTCCTGGCTTTGAGCCCCTCACACCCTGGATCCTAGGCCTACTAAGTCATTATGCTGTGATAACCCCAACAGACAGCCTTTGGCCCTGAACACTGCACATAGGTGTTGCTTGCAGATTCTAGGTGCAGGACTGTTCCTGCCAGGGTCCATGGGTATCACTGACCCCCGTGAGAGCGGCAACTTCAGAGTACACACAGTCATGACCCTAGAACAGCAGGACATAGTCTGCTACACAGCCCAGACTCTGGTCTGAATCCTCTCACATGGTGGCTTTAGGAAGATCCTTGGCCAGGAGGGTGATGCCAGACATCTTACTTCTGAAATATCTACCTGGGATGGAGTGATAGTAACACCTTCAGAAAAGGCTTACAGTAGTCATTAGAGAAAAAGGAAAGGGAGGAAGAAGAGAAGACAGAAGAACCACCTCAAGGAGAGGAAGAAGAAAGCATGGAAACTCAAAAGTGACCTTCCCTTCACTCCCTTTCCTACCCAAGGGGGAAGACTGAGGCTTAAGGTAGGTGCTACTGGTAGGTGCTACTGTGCTTTATATGGTGACAGACATTTCCGTGGGGTAGGGAAGATAGCAGGAAGGGAAATAAACTCTACAGAAGTGTCATTCCACTGGGTTTTGACATTGGCTTAGCAGCCAATATCAAATGTTGGTATCCTTCTTCATTATAGATGAATGGCATTATGACCTATGACATTCATCTACAATGAAGGAGGATACCAACATATTTTCCTAATATTCTAGAATCCCCACCTCCTGAAAACCCCTCTCTTAACTAATACTTAGCAGGATGAATTATCTATTCATCTTATATTAGGATAATAAAGGGAACACATTGAAAATATTTATTCCAAATCAGAGAGGCACTGACTTGAGAACTACTGAGTAAGAAACTATTGACGCTGGCAGCTCTGTTTGTACCTTTATTTTTCTACACTATCCCTACTCTGGAAAAACAGACTGCAAGAGAAGCAAATGTAAATTTTCCTCGACTATGATTTTTGTGCCCCAAATTGTCCTCACTGAGGCAATGAGATGTTAAGTCACTAAAATGTGGCATCTAATGCAACTTGACACTCACAAATGGAAACATCTGGAAACACATAGTCCCTCTGAAACCCAGACATCAGTCTCTTCAAGGGAAAACAAAAGCTCTAGGAGCACTTCCCTTGAACAATCTTTTTACTTGATAAAGCATTCCACCTTACTGCTTCTCACAAGGAAATATGCCTTAGCTTTTATCAAAGTAAGTTCTGTTTTGAACCAAAATAAAGACAAGATTGGATTTTCCCAGGATACAATAAAACAGACCTGAGTTCCATGTTCCTAACTGCTCAATTCTACCAAAGTGTCCCACCAGCAGCTCAAATACACTTCACCTTCAAATTTGCACTCAGTATCTTCTTTCCTAAACCTACATTTTGTCCTTTGCTCCCTATTTCAGTTAATGACCCAAAGTAAATAAAAATAAAAAACCACTCCAATCTCCTAGTTCTACAATAATAAAATATCCTTCGGAATTAACTACGTGCCAGGTCACAGTGACACCAAGGCAAAAGACACATCATCCCCCTAGTGGAGAAGCCCACAGACAAGGAAAACTCCTGGGCTGGTTACAGTTACATCGTCTGGAATATTCAAAGTCATCTTGGAATCCTCCCTCTCAACTGCTTCCCACAGTGAAATGTCAGGACCTGTTAACTTTATTTTTGTGCCAAGTGCTCATTGATTTACTCCATCAGCAACTAGTAATCTAACTAACCTAATTAGCTGCAACTTAACTAACTAGAAGGTCAATTAACTGAAATCTTTTTAATTCAATTCACAGGAAAAAAGGTTTTTCACAAGCCAGCAAGCTAAGGGCAAGTATACGGGATACCTGTCATTTTTACCCTCCAGGCATACGTGTCTGCTGCTTCTGGCCGCACCACCTCTATTTTCTTCTGGGGATCTGTATCCCGTGCCCCTTCCCCGGCTCAGCACATGTTGTTTCAATGAGGTTGACCCTACTCCTTGGCACAAGAGCTGCACACAATCCAGCTCTGCCTACCACAGCAATAGGAGTGGCTGCAAGGAAAGGACTCACTGGGCCCAAATCAGCCAATGAGATTTAAATCAGGGACTTTGTTGGAAGGATAGGAAATAAAGGTTTAATTTCCACTGCAAATAGAGTAGACTACATGGAGTCTATTTGATTACACAGGCAAATATATTCCTTGAGAATCAAATGAATACAGAGGAAGAGAAAAACCAAGGGACAGAGAAGGGTTGAGTCCTGGTGACACACTCTTTTAGCTTAAAAACCCCACTCCTGATACACTGTCACACTGTTATTGCTGTAGACAGTTGGAGTTGGCTTTCTGACACTTTTAAAGAAAGTCTTAGCAGAAATGTTTTAAAATGCTTTTTTAAAAACTGCTGAATTTTTTTAGTCAAAAACAGCACTAAATATACAACTCTTTTTTCTTTCTTTTTTTCTTTGAGACACAGTCTTGCTATGTCACTCAGGCTGGAGTGCAGTGTCACAATCTCGATTCACTACAACCTCCACCTCCTGGGTTGAAGTGATTCTCGTACCTCAGCCTCTCAAATAGCTGCCACCATGCCCGGCTCATTTGTATTTTTAATTTTTTTTTTTTTTTTTTAAGTAGAGACAGGGTTTCACCATGTTGCCCAGGCTGGTTATGAACTCCTGACCTCAAGTGATCCACCTCCCAATGTGCTGGGATTACAGCCTCCCAATGTGCTGGGATTACAGGCATGAGCCACCACATCCAGCCTAGATCTACATTTTAACCACTATTATAGTCTATGTTAAAAATTGATATTTTGAATGATGCCTATGAAATACCATGATATAATACTATGATATTCTGAGCAAAAGAAATTCTGACCAATATGCCCCACTTACCAAACTAGCAAAATGTGCACCTAATTTTAGACTGTCCAGAGTGACCATCCTGAGAGTATTTCTTAGGACACTGGTGCCTTAAGAAAAAAGAGGTTCAGCCTGGGTGTGGTGGCTCAGGCCTGTAATCCAACATTTTGGGAGGCCGGGGCAGGCGGATCACAAGGTCAGGAGATTGAGACCATCTTGGCTAACACGGGGAAACCCCGTCTCTACTAAAAATACAAAAAAATTAGCCGGGCGTGGTGGCGGGCGCCTGTAGTCCCAGCTACATGGGAGGCTGAGGCAGGAGAATGGTGTGAACCCGGGAGGAGGAGGTTGCAGTGAGCCGAGATCGCGTCACTGCACTCCAGCCTGGGCGACAGAGCAAGACTCCGTCTCAAAAAAAAAAAAAGAAAAGAAAAAGAAAAAAGGGGTTTCAGAGCAAATGTATGTGGCAAAGTCTGCATACCACAGCCCCCTCTTGGGAAGTCAAAATGTATGAAATAGCAAAAACCACAATTACTTTTGCACCAACCTAAATACATTGACACATTATGGGCTCTGTAATATTCTACACTGAGAAATCTGTTTTCCTTCTTTGACCACATAACTTCCTTTTATAATTATTATTTTTATTTATTTTTAGCAAGTGTAAACTTTTAGCAGAACATTATGTTCAGGAAAACACTGAACTCAAAGGCCCACCAGCTCCACCTTAAACAAATTCCTATTCTAGTCTACTGCTGTATTGAGAAAAATGAAAAAACCTTGAATTTCCAAATCTAACAGAATTTAAATCTCACTACCTCAGCGTGAATCAAAATAATATAGTTCCAGAAGTTATACTGTCAGCATTATAGTACATTTATCAATTCTGTATTTGAGACTGCTGTGGTGTGTTTACATCTGAGCAAGAAGAAAAAGGCATGGCTAACTGGACTGAAATCGTTCCAGGAAAATAAGTGCTTAAACCAGTTCCAACCTAATTAGCTTCTCACAAAACCTAAAATCCTGCTTGATGCAACCAAATAGCCATTATTAAATCAAAATCCAAAGTGCTACATTTCAGAACAGAATAAAATTCAAGTTGTAGCTAATTACTCCAAAGTCAAAATTTAAATATTCTGTATTTGTGATTGAATTACATGACTCTAACACTACTTGAGCTAAATCAAGTAGACAAGTATAGGTATATAAGACCTTTTTTTAAAAAAAAAATGTGATCTGGACATTCCTAGATCAGATGTTCTAACTTAGCACAGTGAGACACAGAACTCAAGGAATAAGCATCATTGAGAACTCTCAATGTTAGAACATGCGATACAAAATCCATGTTTTAAATGTTTCAATGGTCAACAAAGACAGATATCGTTTATTCATTGATTCATTCTTGCTTGTCAGCACACATGAATTCATTTAGCAGATATTTGCTGATGGCATACTCTGGGTTAAGAACTATACTAGGTGATGGGGACAGAGCCTCCCCTCATGTTATGGGTGAAACTGTGCCTCCCTGCCAACCAAACTCATATGTTGAAGTCCTAGCCCTGAGTCCCTCACAAAAAGCCTACAGTGGCCTTGACTTACCCTACATAGACTTACACAATTCATATATCCCTGAGAGATAGCCAGTGTCATCACCAACATCATCATCATCACCATCCCCATTTTGTAGATAAGGAGGCTGCTATGGTTTGAATGTATCCCAAAAATTCATGTACTGGAATCTTGTCCCACAGTGCAACTGTGTTGAAAGGTGGGACCTTTGGCAAGTGATTGGGTCATGAGGGCTCTGTCCTCATGAATGAATGAATGCATGGGTTATCGAGGGAGTGGGTGAGTTGTCATGAGACTGAGTCTGTTACAAAAACCAGTTTGGCTGTCTCTTGTGAGCCCCCTTGCCATGTTATGTCCCGAGCCACCTTGGGACTGCAGACAGTCCTCACAAACAAGAAGGTATTCATCAAATGGGGTCCTAGACCTTGGCCTTCCCAACTTCCACAATTGTAAGAAATATTGCTTTTTTGAGACAGGGTCTCAACAGAGCAGACAGGGTCTTGCTCTGTTGCCCAGACTGGATTACAATGGCACAATCATGGCTCACTGCAGCCTTGACTTCCTGGGCTCAAGTGATCCTCCCACCTCAGCCACTTGAGTAGCTAGGACCTACCATAGGCATGAGATACTATGCCTGGCTATTTTTATTTTTTAAAAAAATTTTTATACAGATGGGGTCTCCCTGTGTTGCCCAGGCTTGTCTGGAACTCCCATGTTCAACCAATCCTCCCGCCTCAGCCTCCCAAAGTGCTGGGATTATGGGTGTGAATCACTGCGCCTGGCCACATAATAAATGTCTTTTCTTTATAAATTACCCAGTCTCAGGGATTCAGTTACAGCAACAGAAAACAGACTAAGACAGAGGCTAAAACTTGAAAAGGTTGAAAACTTTCCTAAGATCATGTAACCTTTAAATGCAGAGCAAGGACTTGGACCCTTGTCCACAGTGCCCCCATACAACCGGGTTCCAAGGCACCTGGACCATAAAATATAGCACAAGAATTGCCCACGTTTCTAAGAAGGCCAAGTGAGATTCTAAAGACACTGGAAACTTGAAAAAGTGAGGGAAATGCCCACAATCATAATTTCCTGGAGGAGCTTTAATGCCTTATTTGAAATGTCTACTGTCCTCTCACCAAAGAGGAATCCAGGTTAGCCTCTTTGGAGAGACCAAAGGCGGCCTGATCCAAGAAGACCAGCAGATGTTGAATTCTGACAGGGTATCCATATTCAGAACAGTTTTTTTTTGTTTTTGTTTTTTGTTGTTGTTGTTTTGTTTTGGAGATGGAGTCTTGTTCTGTCACCCAGGCTGGAGTGCAGTGGCACGATCTTGACTCACTGCAACTTCTACATCCCGGATTCAAACGACTCTCCTGCCTCAGCCCCCGAGCAGCTGGGATTACAGGCGTGGACCATCATGCCTGGCTAATTTTTGATTTTAGTAGAGAGGGGGTTTCACCATGTCGGCCAGGCTGATCTCAAACTCCTGACCTCAGGTGATCCACCCACCTCGACCTCCCGAAGTGCTGGGATTACAGGCATGAGCCACCGTGCCCAGCCCAGAACACTTTCTTAACGGAGGACCAAAAAAATGAGTAAAATATACAGACAGGTTATTTTTTAATCAGCAGAAAATCAATAAAGATGAAAACTGGTGATGTAAAATAGAGCCAGATAACTAACCAAACAAACAGAAAACAAGAGGCATTGAGAATCAGACTTCCTACATTCTGTAATACACTCAAACTCCTTTAAAAAAGGTTATATCTAAGCCATAGCAGCTGTGGTTATTATTTTCATATAAATACTTAAGAAGTGTCATACACTGCACTAAGCAGTGTGCCTTGAGCAAATCACTTAATGTTTCCATGCCATGGTTTAATCTATAGGGCCAGCATCTACCCCACCTGTCTGTTGTGGGGATTAATTGAAATGGTATACATAATGTGCTTTGGAATATGCCTGGCGGGTAGTAAGTGCTAAAAAAAATATGAAGTGTTCTCATCACCACCACCCGGGGTTCAACCTTCTAAGGAGGATTTCTTCAACTCCATTTTTCAGATGAGTAAACTGAACCTTGATAAGCCATCCTCAGGGGTCAGAGAACAAAAGGGACTTAATCAGGACAGTTTCGGCAACACCAAAAGTTGATTCTGGCTAAGCCTTCGGCTCATTCCCAGCAATACCTGGAAACAGCTACAATGTGCTGCAAATAGTAGTGCCCAGGTATTTCCACCTAACTTGTACTCCTGTGACTAACCCCTGAGCTGCACTACTCAAAGCAAGGTCCTCTAATGCATAATAAAACAAATTTACTAAAAGGCAGAAATCTATTAATTACAACCAAAGACTTCCATAACAAAATACTGCAATCACTACTCACTACCTGGCTGGCTGTCTCTTTGAACAGGCTGAGATAATTGGTTTTCTTTACATTTTATTTTTCCTACTGAATTACTTTTTTTGTGTGTATGTATTAGCCACTACCACATTCAGGTACAAAGTGTGAAATTTCTTTTGCATATAAGGCTGCTCGTGCTCAAGGGAATATTTAGTAAATTAGATGGGCATTTATTACCAAAAATTACGCAGGAAGGAAAGGGAAGAAGGTCCCCAAATTAATAATCTTATTAATACACAAATGCCATGTGAAATCCATTCTCTTCTACTCCCCTGAACAATTCTCTTCAACAGAGATAACCGATAAGGTAGAAAAAAGAGGGTCAGAGAGAACTGAATTCAAGGAAGAAAGACAAAAATGGGAAAATGAATACAGGATAAAAGATGTATTTTAGGTGGGAGACTGTTGGGACAAAGTTCGGCCTGATTCAGGCATCACCCCCATTAAATAATAGATGTGGCCAATCTTGTCCCAGGGAGGTAAGACTTGCAGAGTTCACCTTATGGAAGCAGATCATAAGGATACATGTGAACCAAAGGAAAACAGAAGGAGGTCCTGGATATCCTCCGCTTCAGTCCTCCTAGCTCCAGGGACCTTGGAACTTGTACTTGCTCCCTCTGCTTAGACTGCCCATTCCCTGTTCTTGAAAGGGCCAACTCCTTATGTTCCAGGTCTCAGTCACATCCTTTTTCTTCCCAGGACATATGATCTGAAATTATGAAGTTCATCCATTTATAGACTTGCTTTTTTTATGCTCAGTAGGTATTGCTGGGGGATGAATGAATCTACAGTAGACGCCTAGACCTCTTTTAAGGAGAGATAAGGCACTGGAAAGCCATTTGATATTTGAATTGTTGGAAAAGAAATAAAAAGACTTCATTTGCTGTGCAGATTCCAAGGGCTCTCAGTTCCAGCTGCAGGCCATGTCGGGAAGTTGTCCCAGTCAACATCCAGGACACTGGGAAAGGCCTCTGTGGTTGATTTGTGATGTCTGCCATGAGTGTAGCCACCAATATTTGTGCTTTACTCACTCTTTACTCATCCTACATCACCTAAGATACTTTCCTTGTTGCTACCCTCCACAAGCAGCCAGAATGACCCTCCCAAAGGTAAGGCAGATGCTATCACAACACTTCTCAAACCCTCCAACAGCTCCTCTTCTCACTCAAGATAAAATCCAATGGCCAGTCACCGTCCATCTCCCTTCCCACCAAATGGGTTCCAGCTTCACTGGCGTCTTTACTATTCTACAAATACAGTGAGCTCACTCCTGCCTCCCTATCTTAGAAGCATTTTCCTCCATCAGAAACATCCCCCTTCCCTAACTTTCTGCAGGTACCTATTCAACTCACCTTATCAAGGAGGCCTTCCCTGCTCACCCTATGTAAAGAAACCCTCTGTCTCCATCACTTTCTGCCATTTCATTCAGCTTTAGTCTTCTTTATAACACCTACCACTTGAGATACATTTTTTTAATTATCTGTTTTCTTCATTCACCCTTTGTAGCCTCCCCATCCAATACCTTTATATTGGATTTTATCCAATATAAATATAAAGGAATTTTATCCTTTACATTCATGGGGCATCTCTAACACTTAGAACAGTAGTTGATACATAAGGAGTCCCCATTAAATATTTGTTGAATGAATAAATAAATGTATTCCCCACTTATAATTAAAATAATTAAAATGATTAAGGCCATTTTCATCTAAAGAATAGCTTAACTGCCCATGAAAATACATGTCCATGAGCTTCATGTTTTTTTTCCCTCCTGCTAGATACCAAAAACAGAATTTCCTAACATTTGTGGCAATACAATAAAATAAAATAAAATATACATTTGGATTCTCAACAAAAATTAATGTATCACACCACAGCATACATATAATAAAGAAACAAGAATAGGGGAAAAGCCAAACCCTTACAAATTTTCCCTAAAGGAGTGGTTCTCATAATGTGATCCCTGGACTCAGCATCAGAAGCCCAGAACACTTGCTAGAAATGCAAATTAGAGAAGAACTGAAGGAAATAGAGACACAAAAAACCCTTCAAAAAAAGGTAATGAATCGAGGAGCTGGTTTTTTGAAAGGATCAACAAAATTGATAGACCGCTAGCAAGACTAATAAAGAAGAAAAGAGAGAAGAATCAAATAGACACAATGAAAAATGATAAAGGGGATATCACCACCAATCCCACAGAAATACAAACTACCATCAGAGAATACTACAAACACCTCTACACAAATAAACTAGAAAATCTAGAAGAAATGGATAAATTCCTCAACACATACACTCTCCCAAGACTAAACCAGGAAGAAGTTGAATCTCTGAATAGACCAATAACAGGAGCTGAAATTGTGGCAATAATCAATAGTTTATCAACCAAAAAGAGTCCAGGACCAGATGGATTCACAGCTGAATTCTATCAGAGGTACAAGGAGGAACTGGTACCATTTCTTCTGAAACTATTCCAATCAATAGAAAAAGAGGGAATCCTCCCTAACTCATTTTATGAGGCCAGCATCATTCTGATACCAAAGCCAGGCAGAGACACAACCAAAAAAGAGAATTTTAGACCAATATCCTTGATGAACATTGATGCAAAAATCCTCAATAAAATACTGGCAAAATGAATCCAGCAGCACATCAAAAAGCTTATCCACCATGATCAAGTGGGCTTCATCCCTGGGATGCAAGGCTGGTTCAATATACGCAAATCAATAAATGTAATCCAGCATATAAACAGAGCCAAAGACAAAAACCACATGATTATCTCAATAGATGCAGAAAAAGCCTTTGACAAAATTCAATAACCCTTCATGCTAAAAACTCTCAATAAATTAGGTATTGATGGGACATATCTCAAAATAATAAGAGCTATCTATGACAAACCCACAGCCAATATCATACTGAATGGGCAAAAACTGGAAGCATTCCCTTTGAAAACGGGCACAAGACAGGGATGCCCTCTCTCACCACTCCTATTCAACATAGTGTTGGAAGTTCTGGCCAGGGCAATTAGGCAGGAGAAGGAAATAAAGGGTATTCAATTAGGAAAAGAGGAAGTCAAATTGTCCCTGTTTGCAGACGACATGATTGTATATCTAGAAAACCCCATTGTCTCAGCCCAAAATCTCCTTAAGCTGATAAGCAACTTCAGCAAAGTCTCAGGATACAAAATCAATGTACAAAAATCACAAGCATTCTTATACACCAATAACAGACAAACAGAGAGCCAAATCATGAGTGAACTCCCATTCACAATTGCTTCAAAGAGAATAAAATACCTAGGAATCCAACTTACAAGGGATGTGAAGGACCTCTTCAAGGAGAACTACAAACTGCTGCTCAAGGAAATAAAAGAGGATACAAACAAATGGAAGAACATTCCATGCTCATGGGTAGGAAGAATCAATATCGTGAAAATGGCCATACTGCCCAAGGTAACTTACAGATTCAATGCCATCCCCATCAAGCTACCAATGACTTTCTTCACAGAATTGGAAAAAACCACTTTAAAGTTCATATGGAACCAAAAAAGAGCCCGCATCACCAAGGCAATCCTAAGCCAAAAGAACAAAGCTGGAGGCATCACACTACCTGACTTCAAACTATACTACAAGGCTACAGTAACCAAAACAGCATGGTACTGGTACCAAAACAGAGATGTAGATCAATGGAACAGAACAGAGCCCTCAGAAATAACGCTGCATATCTACAACTATCTGATCTTTGACAAACCTGAGAAAAACAAGCAATTGGGAAAGGATTCCCTATTTAATAAATGGCGCTGGGAAAACTGGCTAGCCATATGTAGAAAGCTGAAACTGGATCCCTTCCTTACACCTTATACAAAAATCAATTCAAGATGGATTAAAGACTTAAACGTTAGACCTAAAACCATAAAAACCCTAGAAGAAAACCTAGGCATTACCATTCAGGACATAGGCGTGGGCAAGGACTTCATGTCCAAAACACCAAAAGCAATGGCAACAAAAGACAAAACTGACAAATGGGATCTAATTAAACTAAAGAGCTTCTGCACAGCAAAAGAAACTACCATCAGAGTGAACAGGCAACCTACAAAATGGGAGAAAATTTTCGCAACCTACTCATCTGACAAAAGGCTAATATCCAGAATCTACAATGAACTCAAACAAATTTACAAGAAAAAAACAAACAACCCCATCAAAAAGTGGGCGAAGGACATGAACAGACACTTCTCAAAAGAAGACATTTATGCAGCCAAAAAACACATGAAAAAATGCTCATCATCACTGGCCATCAGAGAAATGCAAATCAAAACCACAATGAGATACCATCTCACACCAGTTAGAATGGCAATCATTAAAAAGTCAGGAAACAACAGGTGCTGGAGAGGATGTGGAGAAATAGGAACACTTTTACACTGTTGGTGGGACTGTAAACTAGTTCAACCATTGTGGAAGTCAGTGTGGCGATTCCTCAGGGATCTAGAACTAGAAATACCATTTGACCCTGCCATCCCATTGCTGGTTATATACCCAAAGGACTATAAATCATGCTGCTGTAAAGACACACGCACACATATGTTTATTGCGGCATTATTCACAATAGCAAAGACTTGGAACCAACCCAAATGTCCAACAATGATAGACTGGATTAAGAAAATGTGGCACATATACACCATGGAATACTATGCAGCCATAAAAAATGATGAGTTCATGTCCTTTGTAGGGACATGGATGAAATTGGAAATCATCATTCTCAGTAAACTATCGCAACAACAAAAAACCAAACACCTCATATGCTCACTCATAGGTGGGAATTGAACAATGAGATCACATGGACACAGGAAGGGGAATATCACACTCTGGGGACTGTGGTGGGGTGGGGGGAGGGGGGAGGGATAGCATTGGGAGATATACCTAATGCTAGATGACGAGTTAGTGGGTGCAACACACCAGCATGGCACATGTATACATATGTAACTAACCTGCACAATGTGCACATGTACCCTAAAACTTAAAGTATAATAAAAAAATAAAAATTAAAAAAATAAAAAAAAAAAGAAATGCAAATTCTTAGGCCTTGCCCCAGACCTACTGAATCAAAAACTCTGAAGGTAGGGCCCCAGAAATCTGTACTTTCACAAACCCTCCAAAGCACACTCAAGTTTGAAAACTACTCCCCTAAAGAAAAATGTGAGATTTTAGAAACTGATTTTTAACTACATACAATTTTGACATTTTTGGTTTGTACATTAAAAATATGACATTCCTTATAAGATGGTTGAGATAGCCTCTAAAGAATCAATAGCAGGCTGGGCGCGGTGACTCACGTCTGTAATTCCAGCATTTTGGGAGGCCGAGGCGGGCAGATCACGAGGTCAGGAGTTCAAGACCAGCCTGGCCAACATAGTGAAATCCGGCCTCTACTAAAAACACAAAAATTAGTTGGGCATGGTGGTGCATTCCTGTAATCCCAGCTACTCAGGAGGCTGAGGCAGGAGAACTGCTTGAACCGGGACCCAGGAGGCGGAGGTCACAATGAGTGGAGATCACACCACTGGGCACTCCAGCCTGGGCTACAGAGCGAGACTCCATCTCAAAATAAATAAATAAATAAATAATAATAATAACAATAGCAAATTTCATTCTACCATTTGACCAAATTATAATTTTGAATAGTAATCATACATGAATTGATCTAATGTTTTAAATATTTTCCTAAAATCAAGCTTTGTATTCCATGGCTGCCCTGGATCTACTTATAAATAAAACTGAACAACCACATCTGATTTCATCCTAATGTTGTGATTTTTTTGGGTAGCAGTTCTGATAATTAGTAGGGATCAACCAATTAAAAAATGACTGTAACACGTCGTATAAGAAACCCTCAAAGGATAGAAAATGTGAATCTCTAACAGCCTCACATCCAAAAATTTCACCAAACATCTTTACCTGAAGCTGTTTCTTTAATTGCTTCTAATGAAGTTGATGCATGTGTTAATTAAATATTAAGTGCAAATGTGAGTACTTCTAAGAGGAAGTACAGCTCTTCAGGTCACCAACATACTCCTTACACCCACCAATCCTTTAGAACATGAAGGCTGGGACCCCCAAATCACTTATTCAACCGCCCCTTTTTAACACAATGCGGCCACCATCAGGGGGCTCATTACCAACTTGGAAACACAAAAATTATGTCCACAATATAGCTTAAGGGCAGTTTCTAAAAACAGGTTTACCAATATTAATTGCTGGCCTTGCACTAAGTGTTATTCACATATTATTTAATTTTCACAATAGCTCTGTAAGGTTTTCATGTATCCCCAGTTTACTAATGAAAAAAACTGATGTACCAATAGATTATCTAAAATTCTCATAAAAGAAAAGCTCTAACTTGATTCCAAGTAGCTTTTTTCTTGAGACAGAGTCTTGCTCTTGTCGCCCAGGCTGGAGTGCAATGGCGTGATCTTGCCTTACTGCAACCTCCACCTCCCGGGGTCAAGCGATTCTCCTGTTTCAGCCTCCCAAGTAGCTAGGATTACAAGCATGCACCACCACACCCAGCTAATTTTTGTATTTTTAGTAGAGACGGGGTTTCGCCATGTTGGCCAGGCTGGTCTCGAACTCCTGACCTCAAGTGATCCGCCTGCCTCGACCTCCCAAAATGCTAGGATTACAGCCGTGAGTCACCGCGCCCAGTCCCAAGTAGCTTTTAATGCAAGGTTCACTTTTCTTTTTTTTTTCCTGTCACACACATGGCTCCCTTGAGCTTCCAAGACAGACCCCAAATAAAGGCACTTTTATTATAGGACTGAAAAAGATGTGACTAGGAAGAGCTTGAATAAGAACTTCATTTGCCAAGAAATGGTCTCTGGTGGACTCAGATTTTTCCCTTTTTTCTTCCTTGATGCTCAGAATCACAGCTGTACATTTCTAACAAAAAGATATATGAATCAGAGACAGCCAATATGAGCAAAAGAATAAAATAGAGGAGAAAATAGTAAGAAATGGCTGCACTGGTAGCCGTGATAAAATTTTAATTTGAACATTTTCTGAGAACAGATTTTAGCTTATCAAGCGCTATGCAAATTATATGCAAATCCCACACAATGCCTGCATATATTCCCCGACGCTTGTTATTTTATTTATTTATTTTTTTTGCTCTCCCTAGGATGTGGCCCTTAGGAAATCTACCCCCTTGGCTCAGCACTCTAGATGGAACATTTGCTATACTGAAGATGACAAATCTGAAGGTTTCTGATCAGTATTCAGTACCTGTGTTTACGAGCGAGCCCACTGGTCCCCCATAATAGCAGCATTAAATCCAAATATCAAGTGGAATTTATATACATATATTTTTTAAGTGTCAGCTTATAAGGCCTCACCCTAGTTACAGGCAATCTTTAGCCACCCTGCTTCTTTAAAAATCAACGCACAAACACAACAAACCACCTCTTGGATGTAGTCATTAGGCAGAAAGAGTTTCCACAGTGGAACCCAATACTGCCATAACCTTTAAGGTCAATGTTGTAATTTATCATGGGACCATGTGCAGGCTACCCCAGGAGACATCTCTCACATGGCAGAGGTGACACACACGACAGTAAGGTGTCAATTTTACAATATATATGCAGAATCCAGGCCAGAAGCTATTAACTAGTCTTGCTAGCCTCTTCTCACTTTCTAGAATTAATTACCAAGCCCTCTCCTACCCTGGTCTTTTTGCTTGTTCTTTAAATGCTCTTGACTCTTCTACACGCCTTTGCATCCTTCAGGGCACAGCCTTAAAGCTCCCTTCTCTGAGAGGCCTTCCTTAGCTAAAGAAGATAACCCAATTATTTTCTGTTAGGCCACCTGTATGTACTACAACCACTGGTACTTATTTTGTTTGTTTTACTTACTTATCTCCTTCAGGATCTGAACTCCTTGAAAGCAGGGACCCTGTCCATCTTGACAACCAGGATATTCCTAAAGCCTTAATGCACACTTATCACATAAATAAATAAATAAGCAGCTCCTCCTTTTTATTTCCACTCCCAAAAGCTTGGGCTCAGCATATGGTGGTGAGAAACCGTCTTCCTTAGATCTCTGAGATGCAGGACTACCCCCTGCTGAGAATGATGGAAGGTACCCACCTTCATAGAATACTTGCAAGCAGAATCTGGAGCAGAGACACTGAGAGGACGGGCTTGGAGAGGCAGCCCACCCTCCACGTTCAGGAGCACCATGCTGCACCTGACAATCTGCCTCATTTGGCCTTCAAGGCATGATGCGCATCTCTCTACTGTTTTGGCAGGGGGTGGCTGGCTTTCAGTCTTTGCTGCTATACGTGCTTCCTGACTACTGAACCAGAAGATGAGCAAATCTGACAACTGCTCCAATGCCCAGTGAGTTTAACTAGAGTAATGAACACCACAAGGGCATCTGCTGGACGCAGGAGTAGGGTGTAAGTGAGGACCCATGACTGGCCAGTCAATTGTCTATTCAAATGCTAGCAAGATTGCCCTGGACAAGTTTTCTCCCTGATTAGAATAAAGACCCAATAAAAAAAAATTGTCTAAGAATATTTAAATATACTCCAGGTGCCCTTTCTCATTTCATTAGATGAACTGCCCTTAGGCAATTCTACCCAAGCCCAAGGCTTCAATTGCTCTTTCTCTGCTGATGGATCTTCCAGCCAGGACCTTTCTTCCTGAGCTCCTCCCAGAAATCCAGCTGCCTCTTGGACACTGCTACTTGGATATCTTGCAGTCATCTCAGACTCAAAATGTGCAAAACTCACCTAAGGTCACACTAATAGAAAGTGGCAGGCTAATTTATAGTTTAGATGACACCAAAGAATATACACAGGCTTCCCAGTGTGCCCAGATGCCTCCACCTCATTGACGGGGATGCCTGCGGGAGAGAAGGAGGGAGAGTGCCATTGTACCAACTTGCTTGGGTAAATGAACCTCAGGAAAATGAGTTCTAGATTAGTAATAGCAATGAGGATGTCAATAAAATTCTACCTGACCTCCCATTAACCCTGGGAACTGTTAACTTCAGTGTTAGCTAGGGATTTCTTAGACATGCATGGGCTTAAAGTTGTTTCAAGAAATTCACTTGCTTAGAATTCAGTGAGTTTTTTTGGGAAGCTGGTACAATCTGAACAACCCTTTTTATTGCTTACTTTGCGTTTTAAGGGTCTCAGTTAATGAAGTATCTCCTAGCACAGGGGATGAGAAGAGGGGAAAGAAGGCAGGGCATCACCAATCCACTATTCCCTTTTACTAATCCTCACAGGAAAAGACCATCCTACAACATCCTCCAAGTCCAGCTGGCTATCTGTTCTGCCTCATTTCTTCTATGTTTTATTCCACCAACACGAACAGGCTTAGTTTTCCCCAGCCCTGAACAGAGCTCTGTCCTCCTTAGGAGACACCTCATTTGCAGTTTGTTTCCAAGCTTCAACTCATTCCAATGTTCTTAGACACAGTTGTTACCAAATGAGCACCAGCCCCAAGTGTCAACTCAACTGCCATGTGAGGAGGGAGCATCTACCCTTTCCAGTGGGAAGCTCAAATCAGGCTGGCTGTCCTAGATTGCCTCCTTTCCCCAGGCTTCCTACGGGGTTTCTAGACATTACCACTTGCCAGGTTTCTCCTGCCCTCGATCTTCTCTGTTCCTTATTATCTCTGTCCAGAGAGATTATTTTGAATTGAAACTTTTCTTCCTCATCTGACTTGGCACCAAGAACTTGCACATTTGACAAAAGAGTCAATGGGGCTTATGTGGTTTTTAAAATTTAGGAATGCTATGGTAGTCACTTCAATTTTCTTTTTCAACAATCATTTTAATCAGTTTCTGAAAATTTGTGTGCATTCAAGTGCATGACGACATAAAAATTCATTTAAAAAAAAAAGGCACAAGTAGCTAACACTTTGTAGAAATGCGCCTCTATGGTGAGCTAAATCTCTCTCCTTCTTTTCAGTTATCCTCTAGACCCCGTCTCATCACAGTCTGCAGTAGATGTGCACTTCTCATATTTACCTACCCTTCCCAATAATCCCTATTTTCCTTCTAGACCCAAGACACGGCTTTCTACTACTGCACAGACTCCTCCGCGGTTTCCTCAAATCCCCAACCAATTAAAAATGGCTCTGCCTGGCTGAATTTCTAGAGACCTTTGCTGAGGTTAAGGATCAGTCACAATTCATCTTATATTACTTTCATACAAATACTAGATAGGACAGAAATGCAGAGAATTTCAGAAGATTTTGCAAAAACTCTCATTGTCATGGTTTTAAGTCAAACTAAGTTCTTATCAAGGCCTATTTGAAGAAAAAAAAATTTCTAAGCTTACATTTGGATAATAAAGTGCTATTTTAAGTACTTTAATGTTTTCAGAGTATGTTAGCTTAACTGAGTATTTTCTCTGCCCTAGAAAATTTCACAAAGTGGTTAACATTCAGTGGCACACCAAGGCCAGCTATGATGTGCTTTTTGAATTTACTGAAATTCTAATTAAATACAGAGTATCTTAGTAAGCCCTCAAGAGGAGCAATACCAACAATACATTATCCCTTAAAAAAGCAACTGTGAGCATTCACTGAATTGTATACTTTAAAATGGTTAAGTTTGTGTTATGTGAATTTTACCCTGATTTGTACAAAAAGAAATTGTACAAGGTGCAAGTCAGTCTAAACAACCTCTGATGGTAATGCTTCTTTATTCACATGGGGAGCAGCCATGAGTATCACATTCAATTGCAGAAACCCTAATTTATGGCTTTGAATAATTCTCAAAAGCTAAGTCATAACAGATCTTGAACATTTTCACATACCCCTAGATAATTAGACATTAATGTGTCCCATTCCAAAGATTACTTGAGTTTGGAAAAGGAATTTCAAAATCAAATGGCTACAAAAGTTTGAGCTCACTAATATGAAACGAACTTTTAAGTCTCTTGTTCAGACAGGGTTAATGTATAGGTTTGGGGCTAATCCTTCCTCTCAACAGAGAATCTAATGGAGTGTTAGCATTAATGTTCTTATTGATTGGCAAAATAAATTCTTATGGTGAAGATATATTTCCTTATCTGCAGTATATTTCTGTAGATGAAATGTGGTATCATACAAACCCAGCTCTGAGTCCATGAGTAACAAATCCTTCTGTAAAGTACAAACTGACTGTATTTGTGAGAATATGCCTTTCAGCATTTTCTATTCAACAGCTCAGCAAACTAAGTTCTCCAATTAATTTTTTTTTCTAATCAATGTAATGAAAACATTAGCACTTTTGCTACATTTTGTCAGGAAAACCACTAGTAGATGGTACACGGGCTAGTTTAAATTTCATTTTGCTTTGCAAATGGGATTTAAAACAAAATAATCTTTACCAAATTGATGCTTCTGTCTGAAAGGACCAAAATTTATGTTTTAAAAAATGCTCTGAAATAGCAAACCATGGCAACTGTTGACATGAATGAGCTAAATCTGAGCGGAACTCTTAAAAGCCTCACTGGGATATTTAGCAACTATTCCAGAAAGACTAAGGCGCCATACCATAGCCTCTGCCTTCCCTGAAATTACCCAGCCTCCATTCACTGACTTAACAAATGTGCGCCCAGCACCTCCTGGGTGCCAAGCACAGTGGTCTGAATGGGAAACTGTCGAAAATGAGCCAAAGTCCTCTCTCTCAATGAGCTGGCAAACAGCATCACAACAGACTGTGCCAAATAAGGACAGAAGAAGGCTTGAGGTGGTTAGGAGTCCAGAATATCCTGGAGAGGAGTGAAAGATAAGGAGGATCCAGACAGGGGATGAGAAGGGAAAGAGATGTGGAGGGGAAATGGAAATGCAAAGGTCCAGAGACAAAGCAAATCTGACAGCATTACTGACTTCATGTTGACTACAGCGTAATGGATGGGTGGGTGGGGGGAACAGTATGGGATGGAAATGAAAACGCAAGCAGGAGCCAGAGACCACAGGACTCTCTCAGCCATGGTAATAAGTTCCAGCATGTTATTTTAATTGCAACAGGAAGACACTGAAAGACTTTATTCAGGATGCTCAATTTGCTTTAAATCCTAGTCCTATAATTCCATCTCACAAGACATAAACAAAAAATGTCCATACCAAAACCACCTGTGGATTTCATTTATCATTTCAAGTGAACCACCGTCTCGGCATGGCAGTCGGATAAACTAAAGACTTGGCAAAAGATTTCAGGGAATGACAGCTCATTGATCAAACACGAATGTGTTTGCCGTAGTTACTGTAGATGTTGTATAAACTTCTATTCCCAAAGTCTGACCAAACCTTAGATGTAGGCAACTTTCCTTCAGTGCTGATTGGCAGGGCTCTAATGTGTAATCTAAAAAGTGAACCTGCCATTTCACACTTCCAAATTAAATATTTAATGACTGATATGTTTCAGGGTTGATGCTATGCCACATAGAAGCACTTTGTCAAGAATCAAACCATGCAATTGAGATGGCAAAAGAGCACAGTGGCTCACACCTGTAATCCCAGCACTTTGGACGTGCAGCCTCGCCTCCCCGAGTGCCAGGGCAACCGGCCTGAGCCACAGCGGCTCCCTATCCCAGCACTTTGGGAGGCCGAGCCAGGTGATTGTTTGAGCCCAGGAGTTTGAGACCATCCTGGGCAACACAGTGAGACACTGTCTCTCTAACAAAAAAAATTTTTTAAATAGTCAGGCATGGTTGTGCGTGCCTGTAGGCCCAGCTACTTGGGAGGCTGAGGTGGGAGGACTGCTTAAACCTGAGAGGTTGAAGCTACAGTGAACCATGATGGGGTCACTGCACGGCAAACTGGGTGACAGAGTGATACCCTATCTCAAAAAAAAAAAAAAAAAAAAAGTTGGCAAAAGAATCCCTGGAGAAAAGATAATTATTAAGCCACAAAGATAAAAAGATATTTCACCAACTATGGATTTTACACACCCTCTCAAGCTTCTTTCTCAGTAAAACCTTTAAACTATATTGATAGCTGAACCAGAGAGGAAAGCAAGCCAATAAAATTAGGAGGTCGCTAAAAATCCAAAGTCATGGCCATGCCAATCCAACCTGCGGCTGTAACTGTGTGAAGAATATAAAACTGGCACATAGAAAGAATGAGGTAATATTGGATAAGGTATCAATGTCTACACACTTTAAAAGCATCTCACCATCAAAAAGTATGGAATTGGACATAGTTCTACATATGTCCTATTTACCAAAATAATCACCCCTATAAATGTAACCCACTTCCTGGAGTTGAAAAATAATCTTTAGAATCAACCTGACAAAGCCAATGCCTCTCTTACCTGAGGTTCAAGACAGGACAATGATTTACAGATAGGACCCAACCTGGCTTTTCCCCCCTTTTAAAGAAATCAATGGCATTTAAATATGGAAATGAATTGTTAAAAGAATAAAGAGATGGTAGTAAACGCCAAAAGAAGAGGAAGGTTAGCTTTCATTGGGATAAGTATCCTCTGTCCTCTTGTAATTACCAGTGAGAAGCTCTTCTGTGCCTGAGGAAGAGAGACAGAACAGGCTCAGAGGAGCAGCCAGGTGCTTGCTTCACTGATAGAGGTGACAGACCCCTCAGAGACGAAGAAGCAGAGACGGACTGGGAGATGCCACTGCCTCACTTAACTCAGAACATCTCTTTCTTTTGAAACTTGAATTTGGGGAGAAAGTGCTCAATTATTTCTTCTAGTTAAGGCTTGGGGGCAGTCAGGTGGGCAAATCGGTCATTGGTGGTGGGGAGGAAAGAAAAAAGGAAGGATGAAAAAGTGAGAAAAAAGGAAGGGAGGGAAGAAGAGGAGAATGATGGCAAGAGAGTAAAAAGCAAAAGAAGAAAGAAGAGAGAAAGAAAACGGGGGAAGGACAGAGAAAGAACAGACAAGAGCTAGCATTATATCTCTTCTGGTGGCTTCCAGACAGACTGCCATTCTTCTCAATCAACCCTTCCCTTCTTTCTTCTTTTTCTTCTTCACCAAATTCCAGGATACCTGGGTAGGTGATGAACATGAGGAGAAAGGAGA
Source organism: Homo sapiens (assembly GCF_000001405.40). Taxonomy (NCBI): domain Eukaryota; kingdom Metazoa; phylum Chordata; class Mammalia; order Primates; family Hominidae; genus Homo; species Homo sapiens. The sequence continues at coordinate 65,708,883 of NC_000003.12, forward strand.
AACGGTAAATCCACCCAAGCAGGAAGGAGTAATTTCCAACTCTATCACCCATCTCCCAATGCCTCACAAATTCTGTGGCCTTAGAGGGGCAAACTGAGGTTTTATAAAGGTTAACAGAGGTTTTATAAGGGTTCTAATTTACCTGGACCTCAGAAGAGGGACAAGCCTGCACATCTGGGCTTTGGCATAACAGAAATTATGCTTAAAGTTAGCCAGTGATTTTCAAGTAAACATGAATATGTATATACACTACATGGCCGTTCTCTTTTGGTGACAGAAATGTGCTCAGCATTCACATCATTCTCGCTTGGTTTTTTCCAAGTAATGAAAAGGGGCAACGAGAAAATATGCAGCTCAACACATTTCTTATACCAATCTCCAAAGCAAGGGCAGTCAGTGGCATGCCAGAAATGAAAACCTGCTATCTCTTTTTTTTCCAGTCCAATGCTTAGCACACTGGATTACAGAGCCTTCAAAAGTTTTAAGAACAGGTATCTTTGAAGCTGTCTTTTGTCAAGTCTCTGTCATTAAAAGTGAGTTGACTCACCTACCTCTATTAATACATCTGAGGTCTCTCTTCATCTTTAAGAGCCACTGAATAGAGCAAGATTGGAGGATAAAATATTTAAACCTCTTTTAGGAACATCATGGGTGAGTTTTGGGAAAGCAAAGATACCAAATTAGAGACAACAGGAAACGTCAGTAGTCTTACGGCTTTTCTTTGCCAACATGAGCTTCTAGCAAGACCAGATGCACTTCGGATCAGCCTTTCCATAACTTATCCATTAGAGATGTCTTTAAGCACATTGACACCCAATTTTGCCACCTTCATCTGAATATGAGAAGAGTGCTCATTTCACGTTTTCACGTTGCATTTGACAGATTAAAACTTGAAGATATGTTTTTGTCAAGCAATTTGAAAAGAATTTTAGTAGCTCTAATTGACGTACAGAACTAGCCTCTACATTAATTGAAACATAAACCATAACTGGTGTAAATCAAATCATGATTGATACTCTCTTGCCTAGAAGTATCTGGTGTGAATTAAGTTATGAGAAACACTGCATCCCAAACCAGTGACCTTACAATCAAAGCTTCTCCAAAAAGCTGACTTGGTGAGCAAATAGTGAAATGTGCCACATAAAGCCCAAGCTTTTGACTTCTGAAAGTTGTCTTTTGTAGACTACCTTGTTGTTAGAGAAAGTATGTTAAGAGGTTACTCCCCAAGATTTCACAAGCCTTTTTTTAAAGGAATGGTTTTAAAAAGCAAAATACTATAATAAGGCAAAATAGAAGGCAGACAAGCGATCAGTGAAAAGGCAAGCTTAAACTAGGTAAGTTTAGAAGATGTCTTTACTTGGTGAATCACTTATTAACCTTACATTTCTTTTTTTTTTTTTTTTTTTTTTTTTTTTGAGACAGAGTTTTGCCCTTGTTGCCCAGGCTGGAGTGCAATGGCGCGACCTTGGCTCACCACAACCTCCGCCTCCCAGGTTCAAGCAATTCTCCTGCCTCAGCCTCCTGAGTAGCTGGGATTACAGGCATGCACCACCATGCCCGGCTAATTTTGTATTTTTAGTAGAGATGGGGTTTCTCCATATTGAGGCTGGTCTCGAACTCCTGACCTCAGGTGATCCACCCACCTCGGCCTCCCAAAGTGCTGGGATTACAGGCGTGAGCCACCGTGCCCAGCCTTAACCTTACATTTCTAAAGCACTAAGAAGTTTCTAGATTTGAGTTAACACTATTATCTCTTGAAGCTCATATACCCTACGAGGTAGACAATGCAGATAGATACAGTGATTCTCATTCCACACGTGAAGAAACTGATTTTCAGAGACTAATTTGCCCAAGGTCACACAACAAATCAAGGTAGAAGCAAAACTTGAACCAATGTCTTCCAGTGTCCAGTTCAGCACTTTTCAACCATGCCCTTCTTGACTAAGGAGTCCGTTTTAAATATATGCTTTCCCAATGCCCATTGATACAGACTTTCTCCCACTTTCCTACCATTTCTCCAACTGTTCCTTTTTTCTCTCTGCTTACCGTCCTTGTTCTGTCCCCTAAATATAGACCTTCAACTGTTTGCCTTTTCTTTTTGTAACTCATCCCACTAGATGGGTCTCATCCATTTTCATAGCCTCTATGAAGACAATGAAGACAATTCCCAAACCTACTGGTTCCAGTCTACACCTTAAACTCCAATGCCACATGTCCATTCAACAACTAGTCACCAAACACCAAGTGTGTTCTAGGTACAGTGTTAGATTTTTTGTGGATGATGCTATGAACAAGAGAATAAAAGTTTCTGCCTTCATGAAGCTTGCAGTCTAGAAGGGTTGAAATAATTACTAGTAAGAAACAATTACTATGAACTGTATTATACCAAGGTCAAATAGAGAAGGACATTCAGAGGAAATGAGGTTGAAGTTTGGAAGCCAGATTTCTTTGAACAGGCTTCAGATTTTACTTTGGAACCACATAAACGTTTTATTCAAATGTAAAAAGGTTTTAGATAAACAATCTCTAAAAACAGATAATTCAAAACTCCAAAATTTGAGTTTATATCCATAACAAGAAATACCTACAGACAAAAAAAACACAAAAAAATCTTTAGGCAATTCCCTGCTATGAGCTTAGTTTTGTCCCCCCAAAATTCATCTGCTAAAATCCTAATCCTCAGTACCTCAGAATGTGAATGTATTTACATAGGCCCTTTAAAGAGGTTATTAAGGCAAAATGAGGTCATATGGGTGCGCCTAATCCAATACAATTGGTGTCCTGAGAAAAAGAGGAGGTTAGGACAAGAATGAGCATGTATCCAGCAGAAAGACCAGGTGAGGACACAGAGGGATAACAGCAGGAGTCTGGCAGCCAAGGAGCAAGGTCTCAGAAGAAACCAAACCTACTAACACCTTGATCTGGGACTTCTAGCCTCCAGAACTGAGAGAAAACAAAGTCCATCGTTCAAGCCACCTGGTCTGTGATACCTTGTTATGGCAGCCTCGGCAAATTAATACAATCCCCATATTGTAGACTCTCTGATCATATCTCCTTCAGAACCCTTACCATATTGCAATTTATCTTTTATTCTTGTGATTTTGGATTGATATCTATCTCCCAGGCTATAAACTTCATGAGGACAGAAAGAGAGGGTGTTTCTCCAAAGTGCCTAGCAAATGGTTGGCTCTTGTGATGGTTTAAAAACACAACCTAAAAATTCTGTTACACTCCTCCCATTGAAAGGTAGGGTCCATGTGCCCTTCTCTTTAATTTGGGCTCTTAGACTTGACCCACAGAATATGACAGAAGTGATTTTTGACAGTTTCCAGGTCAAAGGGTTAAGAGAATTCCAGTTCCTCTCTCTTAGATACTCAGTCTTGGCGCCCACCCACCATGCTCTGAGGAAACTGAGCCGCACAGGGAGGCCATGTGTAGGTTCTGGCTGATGGTCCTCACTGTCAGTCCCAAACAATGCCAGCAACAACTGCCAGACATGTGAGTCAGGAATCCTTCCAGATGAATCCAGCTGCAGCTACCATCTGGCTGCAACCACGAGAGACCCCAAGCAAGAAAAAAAAAAAAAAAAAGCCATGCGCGATAATAAAATTGTGTTTTGTTTTTGTTTTTGTTGTTGTTGTTGTTGTTGAGACAGAGTTTCACTCCGTCACTCAGGTTGGAGTGCAGCAGCGTGATCTCAGCTCACTACAACCTCTGCCCCCAAGTTGAAACAAGTCTCATGCCTCAGTCTCCTGAGTGGCCGGGACTACAGGCACACACCACCACACCTAGCTAATTTTTGTATTTTTAGTAGAGACGAGGTTTCACCATGTTGGCCAGGCTGGTCTCAAACTCCTGGCCTCAAGTAATCCACCCACCTCGGTCTCCCAAAGAAATTGTTTCAAGTCACTATGTTTTGGGGTGATTTGCTATGCAGCAACAAATGACCTAAATAGCATTCTATAAATAGTTGCTCAATAAAACACTTTCTAGGAATTTTCTACAAATGCTGCCCCTAAATGCTTTGGGATGTCTCTGCAAATCTCAGCAAGTGACCATCACTCTACCTTTATTCTCTCACTGGTAGGCTCTCCAATTAAATATTCATTCAGGAAGCTCATAGCTAGGAAAGGAATCTTACTGTTCAGTTTTGACCCTAAATACAGCCTAAGCTTTCAAAATGCAGTAAAGACAGAAAGTCCTAGAGAGAGAATAGCTTTCCAGGCCCCATTCCTTCTACTCCTGAGCCAGTTTCTGTTCATTGGCATTTGCAGCAGGCCCTGCTGTTTGTGGGCATAAAACATTCTGGTTGCTTGAGTGATGCAACATCACCCTGTCTTCTGCTTCCTCTCCCTGCCATACCAGCCTTAGCAAAGCTGCAGCCATCACCATGGAAACTAGCCCGGGAAGAAACTCAACATTCTTGGTCAAACCCTCCATGCTGTCACCCACAGGGAGCTCTGGAAAGAGAGCCTTGTATTTGAGTAAAAATGGTTCTTTCAGATTCTGGGAGGTAACCATTGTTTTCCCCCTATCAAGCTGCAAGAGAGATTTTTTAAAAAAAGAAAAAAAAGAAAGAAACTCTTTTATTACAAAGTCCCTTCCAATATAATACTGGCTGTCTACCCTGTGGGAACTACTAAAACAAGTCAGACAGAAGCCTAAGCCCCAACAATTTTTGAGAACTGAGCTGATTCTACCACTAACCGAGAAGGGCAGAGATACATAATAGTTAAGCACAAGGCTTAAGAGCCAAAGAGACCTCAGTTCAAGTCCTGGCTCCATTACTCAGGACCTGGTAAGTTCATTCATTCATTTATGTATTCATTCAGTAAGTATTTTGTGTGTGCCTACTACGTCACAGGTAGTTTTGTCAAACACTGAGAAAACCCTGGGGTACAAAACAGACATGGTTCCTAAACATTTACTGCATGCCTGCTTCCTACCACCAGGCACTAATTTAGCTGCTGGGAAAACAAAGGTGAACAAAATAAAGTCCTTGAATTTAAAGAGCTTTCACTCCAATGCTGGAAAAAGAGGAAAAAAAGTTAAAATAAAATAACATTATTATAAGAACCACGAAGGGGACATACGAAAAGCTCAAACAAAAAAATCATAAAAAGCACCTGACTTTGGAACTGCGGTCAGAGCAGGCAATGTTGCTTGAACTCTTTAAGTCTTGGCTGCTCTATCTGTAAAACAGGCATGCCACCGCACTGGGTTGACGTAAGGGTTAAAATTAACCCATGTAAAGCGTGTTCACAGTGCTTGCATACACAGACGTTCCGTAACTGGCAGTTATTATCAATATGACACATGAAAGTGCCTTGAGTGACTCTTGTAGGGAGAGGCATTCCTCCAATGGCCCTGACCCCTGAATGTTCCTGCAAAGAACACTAAGGCCTGAACACCCTCTGCCTGGACCACTGCTTGGGGTTATGTTCGCAGTGAACAATCTTGAGAGATGAGGTAATGTCTCCATCCAGGAAAGAGCAGGCTTGCAGTACAAGAGGCAGATTCCCCCAGCTCAGGGTTTCTCAGTGGCAAAGCAAACTCAGTGTGTACAATCTCCACCTGGGCCCCTTCGAATCACCCTCCTCAGGACTTGGGGAGCATGGGAGCCTACGTAAACATGATGCTCATGCCACTTGTTGTGCTGTGAGCAATAACAGCCTTTATCTCTGACCCAAGAGTCTCATGTTGGTTGCCAGCATGCATGAAACTGTATAATAGGCTAAATTATTAGCTTGTAAGTAGGGTTAAAAAAAACCGAAGCCTGATACTGTCTCTTAAGAATCATCAGTGAGCCTCAATTTAGCTTTCTACAGGTAAATCAAGTCCTCAATCATTTCTTCTCTGACATCACAGTCTCTTTTAAGGACAACTCTTAAGTGCCATTATCATAAAATGAACACACACACACCCCCCACAACACCAATTTAAATCATCTGAAATTTCTGTTTACCACTGTGACCAAGCCTGGCAGTTTCTTCTGTTCCTCACTACAGGAAAAATAGTATAGATATTAATGATGGTGTCTTGCTCTCCCCGAAACTCAGAAGGAGCAGGGACCACAGACACAGGTTTAGAATCTGGACAAAGGATGGTGACAAAGATATAAGATGGGTGGGATGGGGAGAGGGGTAGAGATGGTGGGGGGTGGGATGGCCAAAGAATCATACAAAAAAAGAAGGTGGGAAATCTAAATGTGGTGTAGTATACAGATTTGCTTTCAAAGTGAAGACTTACCTAGGAAGAAAAACGACCTCAGACATTTTAATCAGCAATGCTTTGCAAAAAGGCATTTTCTCAAGGGTATATCACTCTCATCAGATGCTAAATTGGTGTAACAATTTTCTGCATCCCAAATTAAAGTAAAAAATGCACAAACAACAATTATAGTTTTTGCAGGTCATAAACATTTTCTTGGTCCCCTTATAGCATTTTCATCCTTCTCTCCAGGTCAGGATTTTGATTTTTTGTTTTGGTTTTAGTAATACAGGTGTAAGTTCAATTTGCTATTTCTTGCTATATATGCCAAAAGCTCAGAATTTGAAATGCATTTTTAATTAAGCATACTGCTGGGAGTTTGGAAATTCCAGTTGGACCAGCATTTGTCTATTTCATCTTGACTGCAGAAATCAACATTGCTTTCCTCTCTGATTACCACTTACTCCTAGGGGTCACGTGCACAATCCAGGGAAGGAAATGGCAGGTACAAAAAGACACGTACACACAAGCACCACCGTTTCAGACACACATTTTGTTTGTTTAAAAAAGAAATCACTTGGGGAAAGGAAGCAGATTTATCACTTCTCTCAGGCACTCGCCATGCTGTGGAATTATTTCATGTGAAAGATAATTGCATCAATGAAATATTTATGTGCACTCATTATAGGAAAACACTTCATTTTATAACCAAAAATTTGTGCTGCTTAAGTAAAAAAGCAGGAAGAGTTTAGGTTGTAGAATTCCTTCCGTTTTGGATTTGTAAATTTGTAAATTTAGTAAACCAAAGCCAAGACAGCTGCACATCTCAGTTGAGATGTTCCTTGGAGCAACAGAGGTGTTGGAAGTGGTTTGTTGAAGTAGAGCTTTCAAAAAGTTTGTGTTACAATCAAAGGTATCCGAGACTCAGTTCTGTATTCTAAGGCCTGTGAAAACAAACAATTATATTCCAAAAAAATCGTTTACAAAATTAAACCATTCGAGCCCCCTCAAATTGTTTTAAAGGCATCCTCTTGTCCTCAACTTAGGAACTGATGTATTAGACACCATCTTCTTAGGACTGAGACACTGTATCAGATTCAGGACTAGCCTAAGGATCTGGGATAGTTTCACACAGAGAATGATACAGGGACTGTTGTGTATGCTACAGGCCAGCTGATTGTAATCCCAAAGGGATTTGTGTAATCTGTTAGAAAACACACAGACCTCAGAATACATGAGGCTGTGAACATAAATATATTTCATCCTGAGAAACTGCTCTGAGAAGGAAAATAAAAATAATAAATTCTTCTCCATCTAGGATAGATTTATCAGTCACTTACCTCGATGTGCAGTGCACAAAAATGAGGGGAAGGGAAGAGCAGCAATTAGGCCGACACAAAGGCAGACTATCTTATTTCACAGAGTGGTAGGAACAGTGGGGAACAGCAATTCCTTTCTTGCTACCTGACTCTGAAATTCCCAGCTCTTTAAAATCACTTAATTGCTTATCTTTGCAGGGAATGTTTACTTCCTTTCTCAGTATTCTCTCTCCCAAAGCTCTGCCTAACAATTCTTGTGGTAGTTTCTAATAACTCTTCTTCATGGGACCCAAGATAAAACGAAAGAATAAACTCTGCATTCAATGAGTACACATGGAGGACCCATCACTGACCAGGCTTTGTGTTAGGTGCTAGGGGTTTTAAAAAATCAGCCTATGAACTGCAGCATGATTTAAAAAGTGGTTTTCCAAACTATGTCACAGTTTATCACAAAATCTTAGTTGCAGCAACTGGAAGTCAAATCAACTTGCTAAAGCCAAAAAGAAAAATATTGGTGAATGTTGTAGGCAGAATAATGGCTCCCCAAATACGTCCTCATCCTGCTCTGCAGGATCTGTGAATATGTTCCCTTACATGGCAAAAGTGACTTTGCCGATATGATTAAGTAAAGGACCTTGAGATGGAGAGACAATCCTGGATTATCTGGATGGGCAAATCACATGAATCTTTTAAAAGAGGAGGCCTTTTCCTGGCTTTAGTCAGAGAAATATATATGATAACAGAAGCAGGCTCATCTAAAAGACAGTGAAAGAAAGTTAATATAGGACAAACAACCGAAAAGTCAAAGAGTTGTCTTCAAACCCAGTTAGACTCAACCAGTGGTTCTCAACTGGGAACAGTTTTGTCCCTTAGGAAACATGTGGCAATACCTGAAAACATGTCTGATGATCACAACTAGGGTTGGGGGAATGTGTTACTGGCACCCAGTAGGTAGAGGCAATTCCTTTCACAGAACATGTTTCCAGCACGAGATGGAGATGAAGCAATCTTTGAACAGGCATATCAATATACACTTTAGTTACATACTAGTAATGCATCTTGCCTTTAAGTTATTTCACATTTTCATGACTCTGGTATAAACAGTCGAAGTAGCCTGTGATGAAAGATGACAAAGATTTCAGAGCACGTTCTCAGATCAAATTATTACAGGATTCACGTACAAATATATGTGCCTAGAAACTGATATAACACTGAGGACAACATAAAAACGGAGATGAAAACATCTTGCAATATCTAGACATTCCCCTATAGCTTCAAGCTCAAAACTTTCCATTCCAGGAATCACTTCTTAGATAGGTCTGGCAAAAGCCCTTGAGTTGATTCTGATTGGTCCAGCTTAGACCACCCTCTGAATCCTGAACTAATCACAGTGGCCATGAGGATGGAGCACTACCCTAAGTGCCCAAGCTTGGTCATCTGCCCTCCCCTAGGGCCAAAAGTGCTGAATCAGCTCCAGCTCCACATAAACCTACTGTAATAGCAGAGTGTGGTCACCAAGAGCAAACAACATAAGAAAGATTTTTTTCCCCCAAGCTTCTACTACCATGGTAGATTCTGTCTAACCAAGTGGGCAGAGTTACTGTGGAAGGTTTTTATGAACATTCTATAACATCTTCCATGCAGAAATCCCTGTACCTACACTCGGGACCTTGAATTGATTGGTCTGTGACTCTAACTCCTGATAAGGTGTTCTACAAGGTCACAGTGACATACAACTGATAGGCTATGTCGTCTGTGGTTAATGTGACATCATACTGGTCAACACAAACTTTTTTTTTTAGAGAAAGCCATGACCGGGCATTCTAACAGCAGAAGCAAGTTACCCAGTATTGCCAGAAACATTTTGGCTGGACCTAAGAGATAGCTTCCTAAGATGATGAAAAAAAGGATAACGGTGAGAACTTTTTGCAATTCCTTTCACAGAACGTGTTTCCAGCACGAGATGGAGATGAACCAATCTTTGAACAGCCATATCAATATACATTTGAGAACAGAAATGACCTCGTGCCCCAGTGCAAATCCTACAATGTTGTACCTTTGCTCTATCTTTTCCAATCTACTTCTATCACACTTCTATTCTCTGCAAATCACAGGCGGTTCACTTTAGTTACATACTAGTAATGCATCTTGCCTTTAAGTTATTTCACATTTTCATGACTCTGGTATAAACAGCCGAAGTAGCCTGTGATGAAAGATGACAAAGATTTCAGAGCACGTTCTCAGATCAAATTATTACAGGATTCACGTACAAATATGTGTGCCTAGAAACTGATATAACACTGAGGACAACATAAAAACGGAGATGAAAAAAAATCCTTTTTCATATGAATCTCCCAGAAACAACATATTTGTCACATTTGTATTTAAATTTCCCAAGGCAGGTATCATGAGGCATCCTTTACAGATTTCCATCTGGTCTTTCCAATTGGGCTGAGGTATTTTTCCTTCTTTTGTTTCCTTCCTCCCTTCCTTTCAAAAAGCACTAAAAGAAAAGGTCAATTCCCTTTTCCTGCCCTCTCTCTGCTCCTCACCACAGCCTATATGTTGTTTTTCAGAACTTCTACCCAGTAGCACATAACCCTACCAAAAAAAAAAAAAAAAAAAGACACAAAGCAAACGCCCTAAATTGTTGAATACTAAAAACAATAAAAAAACATTTGAAAAATAACTTTTTAAACCAAAACATTGTGTATTAATAACAAAAGCATCAGAAGACAGATAAATACAAAGAGATCCACAAACAGCAGTCTAACTACATAAATGTAACCAAGACACTGCTATAGATTTATTTGAATTGGGCTTATATGGATATATATTACATACAATACACACATACATATATATACACATATATGTGTGTGTGTGTGTGTGTATATACATATATATATATCTGGGCTTACCATATATACATTTTTGTAGAATGTGGATATTATACAATGTTTAATGTATATATATTTTAAATTAAAAATATTATGTATGATTTTTTTAACTTGCTTTCTACAATTTACATCATACATTGTGAACACTGTTATATATAAATAAATATTCATCTATAACATCATTGTTAATGCATAGTATTTTATTAGAGAAGTACCATAACTTATCTACTCAACCTCTTTTTTTTTTTTTTTGAAACAGGGTCTCACTCTGTAGCCCAGGCTGGAGTACAGTGGCATAATCACAGCTCACTGCAGCCTCAACCTCTCAGGATCAAGTGATCCTCCCACCTCAGCCTCCCAAGTACCTGGGACCACAGGCACACACCACCATGCCAGGCTAATTTTTGTATTTTTTTGTAGAGAAGGAGTTTTGCCATGTTGGCCAGGCTGGTCTCAAACTCCTGGGCTCAAGAGATCCATCTGCCTTGCTCTCCCAAAGTGCTGGGATTACAGGCATGAGTCACTGCACCTGGCCCATCTACTCAACTTCCTATCTTGCACAGTTATGACAGCAGTGTCAAACTTAAAAATGTTACAATTCAGATGCACAAAACAAATGCAACTTCTTAATTGTCTATAGTTTATTTAACCTTCCTTAAGAGCTCTTACCCTGACAGGTAGCGGAGTAGTGCTAAGTTATTGTTGACAGTATCTCAATTTCTTGTGTTTTAAATGGAGTCTTTGGGTGAAGTCACTGGAATGTAAGTTCCACGAAGGCAAGGATTTTTTTCAGTTTCATTTCCTGCTGTATTCCCAGTATCTACAGTAGTGCCAGGCATAGGGTAAGTGTTGGATTAATATATTTTAAATGAACAAATCCATCTCTTTTTTTTAATGTTAATGCAAATCCTCCCTACAATGACATCCAGGTATCTGGGAGGCTCACACAATCTTGTGGCAGTAGGAAGAGGGGTCCTGTGCTGGTCACCGAGTCCTCTGCTCTCTCTGCTGTGAAGTACCTTACCTGCCAGGTTACCCAGTGTATGCCCCATGGGCATCTGACACTGAAGCCTACCCTGGAAGACTTGGCTCTGTTCTCCAGGCTTGGACTGAGTGCTACGTTCTCTCTTACCAATTCCATCCTAATTTAACCCCCTCAAATTCTGATGAACCTCTGGGCCTCAGTCCCATCCCCTAACCAATCCTTGACTTAGCCCATCTTAGCCTGTACTTCTAGAATGTTAGCTCACCATCACTAAAGCATCACCCACGGTAAGCTCACAGGCTCTCTCCTCAGGACCTTATACATCCCCCAAGAAACACGTAAAGCTTCCCTTTCATACCAAGTGGGAGATGAGGAAGTTCAGGATAGATAGATCTCTCAGGCCTTCGCTCTGCCTGAGCCTGATATGCTCTTATTCTTTTTTTGTTTGTTTTATTTTTTTGTTTTGTTTTAGAGACCGGGTCTCCCTCTGTTGCCCAGGCTGGAGTGTAGTGGTACAATCTCAGCTCACTGCAACCTCCACCTCCCAGGTTCAAGAGAACCTCCCACCTCAGCCTCTCCAGTAGCTAGGACTACAGGTGCACAACACCACGCCTGGCTAATTTTTTGTAGAGACGGGGTTTCACCATGTTGCCCAGGCTAGTCTCAAACTCCTAGGCTCAAGCAATCTGCCCACCTCAGTCTCCCAAAGGGTTGGGATTTCAGGTGTGAAATCCCACCTGAAATCCCTGGCCATTCTCCTAAACTTACCGAGCTGCTGTTAACCTGTCTTGGTATGGGATGGCCCTGCAGTGTAGCCTTCCTAGAGTTCCAGAGGTAGTGAGACCAACGCCCTATTGCTTTTAACTAATATGTTTGCCACCACTCCCAGCATACACTGGAATTCTGACTCCAGGGTATAACATAACACACACACATACATATTTTGTTACTTCCCTCCCTTTCCATCTTCCTTGATCCCCACACTCCACTAGGCCCGAAGGGCTGGGCTCCATGTCACTCTACCTCTTCTGAGGCAGGGACTTCCCTTACTTATAATTCATCATCCAAACCAGGATGCATTTGAGAGTAAAAGGGGTGCTACTGATAATTAGGTCAGGATAAGGTGCATGAATTAGAGCTGTCCTAAGCAAGCTAGTAAGTGTGGTCACCCTAGTTACATTAAACTTGACATTCAAGTTCACCACTGGGCCTTGTTCTTGATATGCTAATGTAGGCTTAAGGGATTTAGAAAATCTTATTTTGGTAGACAAAACTTAAGCACTGACTCCTTCCTGCCTTCCTGCTTTAAGAATCATAATCCCTTGAGGCAAATGGATGCCTCTGGGTGTTGGGAAAGAAGGTCATTTACACAGAAATGTAAAAGAGAAAAACATATTAATGTACTCGAAAATACTACTCCTCTTATTTATGCTACTCCAAAGAATGTGACAATGAACACTTATGGAATTAAATCATTGCACACTGCCTCAGTTGGTTTCCTTAAAATGGCTGTTTCTGTTTGTATGTTTTGTTTTGTTTTTTGTTTTTTTTTTCAAGTAAGCTTACATAGACTTGATTTCTAATTCTGGAGGTCGACTAAGGAATCTGTAATTCCCTACTTTCCCAGTGTGTCTCAACTCTGGGCTCTCGACTATCCAGTTTCTTCTTCCTGGAATGTCCTCCCACATTCTCACTCTGCCCTTACAAGTCTTGCTTTCCACTATGAGTTCCCTGTTGCTGACCTCCTTCCCTCCTCCAATCCTACTACTCAGGGTCAGTTGCTCTTTCCACAGTGCTCTCACAGTAGAGCAAGTTCCATGGCTTAAGAACTGAGTCAACCAATTCGTGCAGCAGTCTTGAGAGGTAGGTGGAATATTTCTACTTTGAATATCAGGAAACTAAACTTAGTATGTCGTGATACAAGTACTCACCACAGTTGATTTGTCACTATCCACCTTACCTAGATTTGTTTAAGAATTAAATGACCTAGTGAATGGGAAAACTCTGGGAAACAGATGAGAAGCCGGACAATAAAAAAATTACTTTGGGGACCAGGCACAGTGGCTCGCACCTATAATCCCAGTACTCTGAGAGGCGGAAGCAGGGATGGACAGATCACTTAAGCCCAGGAGTCCGAGATCAGCCTTGGCAACATGGCAAAACCTTGTCTCTGCCAAAAAAAAAAAATTAGCTAGACACAGTGGCATGTACCTGTAGTCCCAGCTACTTAGGAGGCTGAGATGGGAGGATTGCTTGAGCCCAAGAGCTGGAGGCTGCAGCGAGCCATGATCACACCGCTGCGCTCCAGCCTGGGCCATAGAGCGAGACCCTGTCTCAAAAACAAAAAAATTACTTTGGACTCATCTTCTTTCTACATGGTTGTTAAACTCTGTGATAACAAAGACTAAATTTTATCTAAATCATAAAATATTAGTGTGACATGAAAGCCTCAAGAAATTATGAACAACGTTAGCAGAAGTTTCACATGAGCAAATTTAGCCCTCCATAGGCCCACATTTCTGTAAAGGAACAAAAGAAACACCATGTGAGTTTCCAGCCACTTCTGTTTCTAACGGTGAATACTTGTGGGGGTAGGGGAGGGGTGGAGGGGCTGGAGGGAACTTGAATACTACCTTTGATTTTTATAGATACAAGATGTAGATATCTGTTGTAGTAAAAAAAAAAAAAAGTCACAAATGAGAATTTGGAGCTCAAAGATCACTGAGAAGGAGCAATGATATTAGGACATCCCTCATGGACTTAGGTTGCCCGGACTGTCATCATACAGGTCAGAAAAAGATGTCAGGAAGGCGCAATGGAGAACCTGCCTTAGAGTCTGAACTAGTGGCCAGTGCTCAACAAAACCTAGATGAACTAAGAAGAGACACAGTTCAGGTCAGAGTGCAGCTAGGAGTGAAACCCCTTGTGGCACTGTGGGTACACCTCGGAGGAAGTGTGTGTGTTTATAAGCATCTTGTGTCTACAAGAGCATCTTGTGTCCATAAGCTTATTGAAGAAAAGAGCTACATCACCAAGATGCTTCAATCCTGGACTTTTCATGCAGAACATCCAGTATCTGGAAGGTGTTAAGAGTTTCCCCACCCCAAAGTAGCTCCAAAAGAAAGCTGACAATCTCTAGGGGCAGAAATAATAGCAAGAGCCATCTCTTGGCACCTCTGGCTGTAGAATCTCCTCAAGCAGCAGTTTTCAAAGTTTCAGGACTCATTTATACTCCTCAAAATTATTCCTTTCCAAGTCCTTTCCCTGCTCATGGTGTTTGTCACAAAGGGGACTGAGTTCTATAGATGTTATATGTGTAACATATCTAGCAACATCAGTCGACACAGATAATAAACTGGGATCTGTGTTTCCTCTACACATATGCTCCTCTTAAACAGTACATTCTCATTAACTTCAGAAAGTTAACAACAACAAATGGCAAAATTAGTACTTTTGACATGTAAAAATGCACATCATAATCACAGTTTTGGTGGAGAACTTATGCTAAAGTGAGAGTGATCATCTTAATTATATAGGAGGGTCTCATTAGAGCCTCAAGTATTTAATCTTTAGTGAGATTCAGCATGAGTGCAAGAGAACTTTGTGTGGAAATTAGCATGTTTGGGGATTGGAAAAAGTAAAAATCTACTAGGTGTACCTGTGAACACACACATTTCAAAAATCCCATCAATTGCAGACACATACATCATCACTTCAAAGAAAGCAACTTAATACTCTGAGCAAAGCATTGACAATGATATGCCTGAACAGACAGGTTTAATTAGCCCAAACACTGTGTGTCTTAAAAAAGGCAACACATGTCCTCGAGCTTTCTTCCACCTCAACAAGGCTTTATAAAAGCACATGTGTTTGTTTGTATATAAACTCACACTGTCCTGTGAAAATTATAATGTAGTCATGGAGAGGGATGCTAACAGAAATGGTTACCACAGCAACAAAAATCACCACCACACTAAAGATGTCTGATTCTGTTTCATCTCTCAGGTTTTTGTCAGAATGGCTTGCTCAAGTTATCCTTCAGCAGTCTAGAAGACAGCCCTTTCAGCATGGGACTACCATTATTCTCAATCACCTGAGCATAGCCATAACTTCACCTGAGTATAGTCATAACTACAAAGTCTTTGGGTAGGAAATTTTACTGGATACCTGGATCAGATAAATCTATACTGCCCATTAGAATGGATGCTATCTGAAAAGAGGGCTTTTCCCGTTTTGTTCATTGGTGAGCCACTGTTATCTAGGATAATGCCCGACACATACTAGGTGCTCAACATTTGTTAAATATATAAATGATCACTGTATTAGTCTGTTCTCATGCTGCTCTAAGGGCATACCTGAGACTGGGTAATTTACAAAGGAAAGAGGTTTAATTGGCTCACAGTTAAGCAAGACTTGGGAGGCCTCAGGAAACTTACAATTATGGCGGAAGGGGAAGCAAACATGTCCTTCTTCACATGGTGGCAGAAGAGAGAAGTGCAGAGCAAAGAGGGGAAGAGCACCTCATAAAACCATCATATCTCATGAGAACTCACTCACTATCATGAGAACCACATGGCCAAAATTGCCCCCATGATTCAATTACCTCCCACTGGGTCCCTCCCACAACACTCGGGGGTTATGGGCACTACAATTCAAGACGAAATCTGGGTGGGGATACAAAGCCTAACCATATCAATCACCATGAAAAACACAGCATAAATTAAAATCCCAGCTGAAATCTCTCTATTTCATTTTTAAATCACAACACCCAGGATTTGAGTCAAAAAAACTCAATATTTCAATATGCTTAGAAGGAAACAACTCCAAATGAGATTCCTTTGCAACACAGTTTGATTCTTTATCCCTTTCAGTTATAATTAAGTCATTCAATTGAAGTAGGACAGTACAATGGTTAAGTGCATGGACTCTGGAACAATAATGTCAGGATGTGAAACCAGGCTCTATCTCCTTATAGCCTTGAAGGGACCACTTGACTTCTGTGTACCCCAGTGTCTCCATCTGAAAAACAGGGAGAGTAATGGGACCTATCTCAAACATCAGCTATTACCATTTGAGCACACACTATAGCTACAAAGATGAATAAAACATCCTTGAGTTCTTATTATACCACCCCCCACAGGGTATCACAGATCTTGTTACATGTCTAACAAGACAGCAGGAGGACAGAGGTACAATTATCAGACAGTCTTCCATTGTCTCAACTCTGCCAAACCCTGGTGGCTGGGGCTCGACAACTTGGTCACTGAGAAACTAAGGCTGGCAAGTAGGCATGTGGACTCACCTTTTGACATTCTCTGGCATAGCATGGAAAAGAAGAAATGCAAGGGACTTGAGTGTCACCAAGCTAACAATGCTGAAAGACAGGAATTAGTACATCTCCTTCTTCACTCTGCCAGATCCTGGAATAAGTAGCAGCACATTCCATTCCAGCCTACTTAAAATGGGAGCAGCACAGTCTTAGCCGATGATCAAAGACAAAAGATCTAGAAGTTAGAATTTCAAGACTCTCCAAGCTGGTTGCTCCAACGTTAGAAAAGTCTATGCATAACAGGAAAAAGGTTGGAACTCAAATTCTGAAAAAAACTTGATTCCAGGTAAGTTAATTCGTCATAAAAATAAAGGAAAGAAAGGGAAAAGAGAAACTATTATTTAAAGGGTTAACAGTCTAGTTGCCTCTCAAGTATTTTCTGAAGCCAGTTTAGCAGGGTTAAAGTAATATATATGAACATATTCTTGGCAGAGTATAGTAAAGAAATATGAAATTATGCAAAGACTTGTTGAGATTAAATGAATTACTGCTGCATATGAATCAGTCTTTTTTAAAGAAGCTATACAGTATAAAATAGACACAGTCTTGTCATTGATTAGATTTACATTTCCATCTTATTTAAGCTATGCCACCTGGAGAATAAGATAATTCAATGCTTTTTTATATAAAACACCTTGGCTTAATATTTCACAATGAGAAACTTTGATTTTGAATTAAATTATGACAAAATGGAAGTCTAGGAGAATAGAATATTCAGCATACAGGATGCTAACCATTCAATCTGGTAAAGATATTGAGTCTCTGACAGTGAATAACTATTGCAATGTACATTTTCCTACAAATGAGAAGTAGATTCAGAAACTCTACCAAACCTTTGAAAATCACACAGCAAGGCAGGCATATATTGCCCTATTTTTGTGGTTATGTTGAGGTATCAAGTTTCTGCAGCATTCACGAAGCCCAGAAATCTCTAAATAATGCCACCCTCAGTTCATTGGTGATATCTCAAAAATGGCTAGAGAGAATTATTGTCTTTTATACATACTGATCCAAAAGAAAGCTGTAATTTCTCTAGGACACCATCCACAAGTGTGCTATAAAGCACAACTTCACCAGGGTTCCTAGAAACACTGACGCCCTCAGCTCTTGGGGGCCTGGGTAGGGTTTCAGGCACCTAGGGACCTCAGAATGGTCTCTTATCCTACGAGCATCTTGATAGGGCTTCAAATCCCCAGGCAAGTATCACCATTATCCGTTATAGCCATGGCATGCAAAAGACGAGAGGCAGAATGGAACAGATAAAGGGAGATGGATAAACAGGTTGAGTATCCCTAATCCAAAAATCTGAAATCCAATATGCTCCAAAATCCAAAAAAAAAAAAAAAAAAATCCAAAATCTAAAACACTTCTGGTCCCAAGCATTCCAGATGAGGAATATTCAACCTGTAATTCCACACAATGTTAACAGGAATTTGGAAGAAAACAAAATATATGGGATGGAGAAAATTCTGTGGCCAAATATGTGTAGGAAGTAGTGAGACAAAGTAATAGAAATTTCTTCACTGTAGGATTTACAAAAATTCTTTAACATGCTGATAGAACATGTTAAAAGAATATGATACTGTTGTAATTCAACAACTTATCTGACAGCACACTTATTTAAATGGAATTTTACCAGAGTTAGGAATTCACAGAACACAGTTTGAAAACCACTGCTTTACACATTTGTGTTACCTGATAAAAGGACTTCAATAAACATTTGAGTTACAATCGAATTATTATATATATAAAGAAACAGGGAGTTATTCCATTTATTTATTTGTTTTTGAGGTGGGGTCTTGCTATATTGCTCAGGCTGGCCTTGAACTTCTGTGTTCGAGCAATCCTCCAGCCTCAGCCTCCTGAGTAGTTGGGACTACAGGTGTGTGCCATTGCCCCTGGCTCTATGGGAGTTACTCCAAATGAAGCTTCCAATGAGGAAGATATTTTATGATAAACTGAATGTAACCTGGGAGATGTGAGTAATATATGTGAATGGCCTAAATTAATTCTGTTATTTTACTTCTAAAATATTCCAGATGCATTCACACATTGCTTGTTTCCCTTTCTTTTGTTTCAATCAATGAGTAACTATGAGTGTCTCCTATATGCTCTAGGCACTGGGACACCCAGTCTCCCTCAGAGAGACAGACAAGATGGATCAACAAGGTAGGCAAGACGGAGCTTCTATTTTCACAGAGGCAGACAGATGATAGGAAAGCAGATATATATTATTCAGAAGTGAAAATTATGTTATACTTTTAAGGATGATATATCAATCCGGGTGATGTCAGGGAGAGTGACTATAGGTGGAAATTTGGGTGGGAGTACTATTTGAGAAGAAAGTCAATTAGTACCCCCACCCAAAATAGACCAGGAAACATTTGTAAAGGGATATAGTCTGTTTCCTAATACAGGTGCAGGCAACTTCAATGTAAGCTAACATAATGTATTGTCAGAATAGCATTTTCCACACTCAGGAAGGGTCTGGAAGTCTGGAAGGCTATTCTAAGGAGGTGGCATAGGAACTGTGTCTGGGACCATGAGAAGGCATCAGTCAAGAAAGATCTAGGGAAGGAGATTCCCATATGAGGCAAATGACAGGAGCAAATGCTTTGAGATGGAAATGAGCTTGGGGAAAACTCAGAACAGGATGATTGGAGCTGGAGCACCCTGTGAGGCGCAGAAGGTGGCCTAAGATGAGCTGGAGATGCAAAGAGAGACAGACCACGTGGGATCATAGAGCCCATGGTATGGAATTTGGATCTTTGTCTGCAGGAAGCTGCTCAGCAGTTTTCAGCAGGAAAGTGCTATGACATGATTTCTGTTGTTAAAAACAGCTGCTGCTGTGTGGGAAACAGCAAGAAGAAAAGCTGAAAAGATGAAGAGAAGTAATTCACCCCTAAACATGGTAAGTTACTTCCTCAAACCCCAGGGCCTAAAATTCCAAATCCTGGAGAAATAAGTCAAACTAGATAGTCATTCAGCTAAGCAAAGAGCAGGTGTTCTGTGGCACAGCTGAACTTTTACCCTTCAAACAGTATTGTCAGAAGAGAAACAACTGTCCCAAAGAAATGATGCAAAGAAAAAACCGTATTTTTTAAAAAATTATTTTGTCTAGGACACCACTATTCTTAACACTTTTTTTAAAAAATCTTAAAGGAACTTGGGGATAAAACTTTTTTAACTGCATAAGCACTATTCCTCTAGTAGAACTTGAGTGTGTAATGAAGCCAATTGTTTTTTAAAATAGTAAGGCTTTACTGTGATTCCTAATCAATACTCATATGACATCTCCTCACAAAATGATCATTTACTGTGTTTAATAACTCTTGAGATTAAATAGGAATGACATGCAGTAAAACCTGACTAATTTTGATCTGATTAAATCAAGTTTTGCAAAAATTTGGACCTGGCATGGTCTGAATCTGTGTTCTGCATTATCCAATAAAAACAAATCTGTCCTACAAATTAGCAGTTAACAAAAAATGGAACGGGGGGGGGGGGGGGGATGATATTCACTCTGAAGAAAACAAGCCATCTACAAGTATATTCATATAGGACCAACACACTAATTATAAACTGCTTATCTATTCCTGACAGCAGGTCACTCCAAAATCTCTATTACATTATGTAAGCATACGTTGAGGTTGCCTGCACCTACATTGGTAAACAAACTATATTCATTTAAAAATATTTCCTGGCTGAAAGTTCTCAATGACTTCAGCTAACAATACAGTTAGGATCAAAGTTTGAGGTTGGCTAAAATCACATGAAATCACTATGTATGAGCATTTTGGGTATAATACTATGCACAGTAGACAATATAAAACATAAAACATATATATTTTATACAGTCATTTAAGATTTGGTTTTATCTGAATGTCTAAGTGGACTAACTTCCAGCCAAAGGTTTAGAAACAACACTGAATCTAACTCAGGGAAGAGCCACTGCCAATCCTGCTTTACTAAACATTACAACCACTACCCAGCAAGGCCAAATTCCTTGAGCAAATGTGTGTTTGCTGACCCTGGAACCCATCTTTGAAGCTCCCCATCGCTAATGAAAAGTGAACTCTACTTCCTGACCTTTTCAGCTGTTCTGGGAATCCAGCCATAACCAGAGTCTCCCAAGAGAATCTCTGAATTTGTCTACTGCAAATACAGCACTGCAATCTAAGCAGGAAACTGAACTAGATTTTAAAACAAGCCGTTAGCAACAAAAGGCAGAACATTAAAATCACCATGTAATACAATCCTGCTACCACTGACCTTTGGTTATATAAGTAGTTCAGAATGACTTGATTGAATAAGAGATGCTGTATTACTTTCTTTCTGTGACTAAACATTTTGGGGCCTCATGTTCAATTAGAAATTAAAATTTGGCCACACATACCAAGAGTCTAATTACATTTCTCAGCATCTGTCTTTCTTTCCAGGCCAAAAGAAAATATTTATGAAGAGCAGATTGAGACAAAATATACTGCTGTGGAATTGGTGAATATCTCCATTACATCATTTGCCTTTTAGGTGGTTTATCAGTTAGGAATGCTTTTGGCTGCAAATAAGAGAATCTTTGCATTAAGAGTAGCTTAAACAGTTAGTGGCTTATTTATCTCACAAAATCTGGAAGTGATCCCTGGGGTTGCTTCAGCTCTTCAACAATGCTATAAAAAAAAATGGCTTCCACCATTCTCAGCATGTGAATTTTCTTCCCCAAGCCTGTCACCTCATTTTCACAAGATGCTACTACCTTTCCAAGCAACATATCCTCATTTAAAGCAGGAAGCAGGAGACAGGGGCGAAATGACTATCTTCATGAGTATCCATCATCTTTACTAAGGAAGGGAATCTCTTCTACTTCCCCTCACGTCTCATTGGCCAGAGCTGGGTCGCATATACAACTCTAGACCAGTCACTGGTGTGGCAGAATGGACTGACGAGACTGGCTTAGACCAACTGTGATTCACGACGTATGACCTGGGACAGGCCTGCTTTGCCTGAGATCAAGTAATTGTGCTGACTAGACACAAAATCAGGGGTCAGTTAGCGGGAACAGGGAGAGATGCTACTGAGGAGATAAGGACAGCACTGTAACCCACAAATGTTTCCTAGAATGGAAAGATCTACGGATAAACAAATGAATAAATGGTCACTAAAAGAAAAAAGTAATAGTTCATTTTTGTTTTCTCTACAGCAAAATATTGTGAGAGGCTGAAGTGTTGTCAGAGCTGTAGAACAGAATCTGTTATTGTCTAACTCTCCCCACCCCCCCGGGGTTTTTGTTTTTTTTTTTCTTTTTAATAAGTGAAATGGTTACCTCCATTGTAGTTTTGCCAAATTCAATGAAAAGAATCACAATGAATCAAGTTACCTCTAGAGGCATCTTCTAGCCCCCAAATTTAGTTACTGGATAACTCAAAAGGTAACCACCGTGCAACAGGGCATTTCTTCCAGTTTCCCTGAAGGGTGATCAAAATGTCCATTTAAAACATATAACCCATACCCCATGATTTAATGACTGGTATATAAGTAAAAGGCTGAACTTACAAATACTCTCAAGAGAGAAACCCTGTCTTCAGAATGTAATAGCTTTGGAGCAAATATGGGAATGTTTGTTTGCCATGTCAGACATACATAAAAGGAATTTTCGTGCTATGGCTAAAAACACCATCACACAGTCCACCTTAAAACTTGGCTCCAGTCGGGTTAAATAGAATTCTAACAGCATTTAAGGAAATCTATGACCAGGCATGATGGCTCACACCTATAATTCCAGCACTTTGGGAGGCTGAGGTGGGTGGATTACTTGAGTCCAGAAGTTCAAGACCAGCCTGGGCAACACAGTGAAGCCCTATCTCTTAAAAAAAAAAAAAAAAATTAGCTGAGCATGGTGGTGCATGCCTGTAGTCCCAGCTACTGGGGCGGCTGAGGTGGGAGATTCACTTGAGCCTGGGAAGTCGAGGCTGCAGTGAGCTGTGATTGTACCACTGCACTCCAGCCTGGGTGACAGAGTGAGACTCTGTCTCAAAAAATTTAAAAAAAAAAAAAAAAAGAAAGAAAGAAATTTACATTATCATGCATAAATCAGGCATTTTTAGTGCTTTAAATAATAAATGGCGCTCTGAAAATTCAGCCTAAAAGCAAGCTGTGCTTATTTATCCCCAGGATTCGAAGACTGATACTAAGAAGAATGTTAAATGTGGATAGTAGCCAGAATTGGAATATAAGGTGTAATCTCCATTCTTGCTAAGTTTACAAGCACAGGAAAGAATGAGGGTCTAAATTTTAGAAACTGTTGTGTACAATATTGTCAGAGTTGATTACTTGTGGTTCTGATATAATACTGGGATACTGAAATGTCGCAATTAAACAATTCTATTTTAAGTATTATGAATATTTTTCCCCTTTAAATTATATAGCTTCTTGGTAGAAAACATTCACGTATCAATTTAGCAAATTAGCCCCTGCTGAACTGTTCAGAAATAAAACGAATTCAGTCTCTGCATAAAGAAGAGGGCACCAACCTCAGAGAGATAACAGAATCTAGAGAAGAAAAGTTCCTGCCTCTTTTCAATGTCTGTGTGCTAGGATTGCAGTCCAGGTGCTCTGCACTTAGGTAAAACACACAGACAAGCCAGATTTGGCTACTCTCATTTACAAGACATGAAAACTTGCAAAGACTTTGTACACAAACCCACTTCTCATTAGACTGATCCTTGGGGATACTGATAAGCAGTAACTAGTGAAGAGTACAACCTCATCCTTCCTGCCACACTTTCCAAGAGCTCCCAGGATTAGCTGTGCGAGAAAGGGAAAGAAACGGTTTCTGAATCATTTCAAACCACCAGCATCCTTCCCCAGACTCTCTAACATCAAGCTGCTCTCTGCTACCCTCTAGAGGATATCAGCATTACAACAGTAAAGAAGAAAGACTGCTAATCACAGCGCGGCACTTACCTAGAAAACAAGAATGTGAAGTTGAATAGAATGAGGATTCCTTCAATATAATATACAAAACTCTTTTGAGACTTCTGTTTTTAGTATCAACTATCATAACAAAATTATGCAAAAATCCTGCTACAGATTATACATCACAATTAAGCAAAAGTTATGCATATCTTCCCTCATTCCCCAAGTCTGATCCACTTCCTGGAGTTTGTACTAACTCAAAGCATTAAACTATATGCTAAGAAGTATCTTTAAGGTCTGGCAAAAAAACTATGACTCTGATTCTTGAATTCATTGATGAGAAACTCAAATGAGAAAAATGAACTAGGTGTAAAATATCAGGGAATGATGAGGACTGTGGCAAACTGGGGAATCTCCTGCCCCATTAATGGGGTAAGAATCTATTAAGTTCTTGCTGATTGTCTGGACTCAGGGTTCCAAGATCACTTGTTTTTTCTGTCATTGTTGTGGGTTTTTTGTTTTTGTTTGTTTTTTTTGAGATGGAGTTTTGCTCCCAAGCTGGAGTGCAATGAGTGCAATGGCGCGATCTTGGCTCACTGCAACCTCCGCCTCCTGGGTTCAAGCAATTCTCCTGCCTCAGCCTCCCGAGTAGCTGGGATCACAGGCACCTGCCACCACGCCCCGCTAATTTTTTGTATTTTTAGTAGAAATGGGATTTCACCATGTTAGCCAGGCTAGTCTCGAACTCCTGACCTCAGGTGATCCGCCCACCTCAGCCTCCCAAAGTGCTGGGATTACAGGCGTGAGCCACCGTGCCCAGCTGTGTTTTGTGTTTTTAAATGAAAAGCCAGAAAATTAATTGTATGTAAAAATCTCTATATTTTAGAATGTTTGACCTCAAAACACTGTAATAAGAAAAACAAATAATGAAATATCTTGAAGATTTAGCCCATCAGAGCAGACATTTCTGCTCTAAGATTATCTGTCAGTGGCAACTGCAATCCAAGAGAAAAACCAGAGAAGGAAACCTCATCCATCTCTCACACAATGAGAGTCATCCTATCAAAAAACCATCTGGTTTATAGGGACAGATGTAGCAGATGTGGTAATTTGAAGACCGTTTAAATCTTCAGCCAGTCCCTTCCTTGGATGTTTGATCTTAATCTTGAAACAAAGTGGCTATATTATATGGCATATTAAGGCATAAATAAATCACTGCAACCATCTAGGATATTTCTTCCTTGCCTGCTCAGTCCAGAAGCACAGAAGATAGTCAGATGGACACTTCCAAGAAGGGAATGGAAGCAATGAAACCACCTTCACATGTTTGTAGGAGGCCATGTCACTACAGCTGTTGTTAATCCACTCCCAGGGAAGGGCAATGCAGGTTTGCTGTTTAACACCGAAATTCCTGCTCTAATTCTGAGTGTTACTTTTCTCCATCTTGGGTCTGATTTAAAATCCAATCTACTCCTCCTATCACTATAATGTCCCTTTCTGAGGTCCATTTATCTTTCTCAAAAAGAAGAACATCGTCTCAGTCGATTTTTCCCATGGCTGACAGGGTTTGGAGAACAGATATAGCAGATGAGGATGCCAACTCATTTTTCATTTGCAGGTTAAAAACATTATCTTGACTGGGTGCAGTGACTCACACCTGTAATCTCAGCACCTTGGGAGGCTGAGGCAGGAGGTGGGAGGAAGGCTTGATCCCAGGAGTTCGAGCACCCTGAGCAACACAGGGAGACCCTGCCTCTACAAAAATTTAAAGACTTGGCCAGGTATGGTGGCACTTGCCTGTAGCCCTAGCTACTTTGGAGACTGAGGCAGGAGGATCTCTTGAGCCCAGGAGGTCGAGGCAGCAGTGAGCCGTGATCATGCCACAGCACTTTAGCCTGGGCAACAGAGTGAGACCCTGTCAAGAAAAAAAAAAAAAGAAAGAAGAGAAAGAAAGAGAGAAAGAGGAAGAGAGAGAAAGAAAGAGAGAAAGAGAGAGGGGGAGAGAGAGAAAGAGAGAAAGAAAGAGAGAGAGGGAGAGAGAGAGAGAGAGGGAGAGAGAGAAACTGTCTTGTCTACATAACCTTCATTATCATTAGTCAAATCTCTATTTCAACAGCATTGAAAACTCTTTAGTGACTGTTTCCAACACAAATATATGACTGCTGAAGATTCCTGAAGGAAGCAGAGTTGTTAAAATCTAACAATAAGCGAGTCCTCTTGAATGTGTGTATGGATTTATTATAAATTTCCAGGGAAGCTAAATCCAGTGTCACATCTAGATAAACAGCAGGAGGGGAGGACAGAGAAGGAAATGGTGGGGGGAGGGGAGGTGAAGAGATGGGAGGTGAGGGGAGGAGAAGGGAGGAAGAGAGCGGAGGGGAGGGGAGGGGGAAGGAAGACAAATCCTAAAATTATCCTATAGATCATTACAATTCACATAAAAGCTTCTCTCTATTAAAAAAGAAAGTATATACCTATGCATACAATTGAGTTACTTGAGAATCTGGCAAAAGACCCTTATTATTTAATAATAAATTACTCCTGAAACACAAAGCTAAATTTAAATATCTATGAATGTCATTTAACCTCTGAAGATGTTTCATCAAATACATATTGGAATCATGCTGTATTCCTAGCATTTAATTTTTTTCTTGAAAATGAATGAATAAGAGCCATGTAGACTGCTTTAAAATTTCACTTTATAGATTGCTGTCTGCAAGTGTTCTAATAATAGACAAATGGAAACAGAAGTTAAGGATTTTTGGGGGGGTTCTCATTTTAAAAGTGGATAAAGCCTGTTTTTAAAAGTGTGTCTGCACGTGTGTGTGTGTGTGTGTGTGTACAGGAGATCAACAGAAAATATAAATATTGGAGGTGATTCCTAAGGTTATGCAAGATGGTGAGACCTACATAAGAACCAATAAGATGAGTGAGATCAGCGAGATTCCATTAAGTTGATCTATCATGTAATATTGTCAACAGATCCAGGGCAATCTGAAGCCTCCACAGATGGTCAGACAGCACTGAATTTGGTATTCACGGCTCTTGCTAGGGATCCGTCCAACCCAGTGAATGATCCTTGAGCTAGTATAAAAATGCAACCCCCAGGCCCCACAGCAGCACCTCAGTTATCATTATTATCAACAACCTACTGAAGACAAAAAGAAAAGCAACATGTGCTGACCAAGGAGGCTCCACAGTTAAAGATTCTCCCTCTGCTAAGTTTCACTTACAACAAAAAAAATTTGACTTGCCAATACACATATATTAACATTGATGTCCGCTGCCGCTCATTAAATGCTTAGAATGTGCCAGGTTATCAAGCACTTTACAGGCACCATGTCAATAACTGAAGCCTCTGTGAGGACCATTCTTACCTCCACAGTCAGATTTCATAGAGGCCCATGGAGATTAGATAGCCTGATCAAAGTTCTACTCCCAGTGAGTGCCCGAGCAGCAATCTGAACCCACATCTTCATCTCTAAAGACACTGCTCTTGCCTGAGACACTCCAACAATTAAATCTCCCAGACGCAGAATTTTCAGAAGTAACACTGATATTTTTGAAAGTGAATTCAGAGAGCCGAAGGTTCATTCTCTGTTACCATCATTCAATTCTCTTATGGTTTTCTATGGGTCTTGCCAAAAGAGCACTTTGATTTCTATCATTCTATTTCCAACCTGTAAGAAAAGTTCCCAGCAAAAGTAGCAGCTTCATCTATGTGGGATCTTCCAGTGGTGACTTTTAGATCAATGGAGTTCCAGGTGACAAGAACAGAGACTCCTTTTAAAAGAATGCTATTTGTATTAGTCAGGGCTCTCCAGAGAAACAGAACCAATAGGACATATATATACAGATATATAAGAAGAAGTTTATTTATAGGAATTGGCTCACATGACTGGCTCATGTGAATTGGCCAAGGAGTCCCACAATATGCTGTCTGCAAGCTAAAGAACCAAGAAAACTGGTGGTATATTTCAATCCATGATGGTATAAACTCCCAATCCAAGCCAGAAGGCTTGAGAACCTGGGGTGGGTAAGGGCAGCACTGGTATAAATCCTCCAGAGACCGAAGACCCAGAAACCAAGAGCTCCAATGTCCAAGGGCAGGAGAAGATGGGTGTCCCAGCTCAAGAAGAGAGAACAAGTTCGCCCTTCCTCCATATTTGTGTTCTATCCAGGCCAGCAAAGGACTGGATGATGCCCATCCACATTGGTGATGGCAGATCTTCTTTACTCAGTTTATTGATTCAAATGCAAACCTCTTCCAGAAACACTCTTACAGATACACCCAGAAATAATGTTTTACCAGCTACCTGGGAATCTCTTAACCCAGTCAAGATGACACACAAAATTAACCATCTCACTATTAATTTCAAAGGCAACTTCATTCCTAGAATACCACAAACACCTTTGTGCCCACCAGCCAGAACTGATTGTTAATACTGTCACACTTGCATCAAGACTTTTTTTTTTTTTTCTTTTTGAGACGGAGTCTCGCTCTGTCCCTAGGCTGGAGTGCAGTGGCGCGATCTCGGCTCACTACAAGCTCCACCTCCTGGGTTCACACCATTCTCCTGCCTCAGCCTCCTGAGTAGCTGGGACTACAGGCACCGCCACCACGCCTGGCTAATTTTTTGTATTTTTAGTAGAGACGGGGTTTCACCGTGTTATAGCCAGGATGGTCTCAATCTCCTGACCTCGTGATCCACCTGCCTCAGCCTCCCAAAGTGCTGGGATTACAGGCGTAAGCCACTGCGCCCAGCGCATCAAGACTTTTAAAATGAATGGATGGATGGACAGATGGACGGACGGGTGGATGGATGGACAGATGGATGGATGAATAAATCAGCCTTAAATTTAATGAATAAAAGCAACTTCTTCCAGTAAAGAACAAGTCAATGTTTGGAACTAATTAATTTATTCACCAGGTATGCCCTGAGTTAGAATCCAGCAATGTGCTAAATACTGGGGATACAACAGGAAATAAGACAATAATGTAACATTGTTCCAATACAGGAAAGGAGAGAGCATTGTGGGAGCATGGCAGGTGGTAGCTCACTCACAATCACTGGCTGCCATATGGTGCCCGGTTTTCCAATACTTCCAAGAGGCAGAAAATAAAGATTTTACATGGGTAGGTGGCTGGGGTCAAACCACAAAGGTCCAGGCTAATCACGTCAAATTACAACCAATGAAAGATTTTAAATGAGGAAGTGAGATCACTAAATTCTACTTTATCAACATTACTCTACCCACATATGGCAAATGGGTTGGAAGGGGTGAAGATGGAAGCCTGAAGTTTCACTTAACCAATTACCGAAAACAACACACACACACCTCTCTCCACACACACACACGCCATTAGCGCATTAAACCTGCCTCATTAGGACTCCTAAAATCAGATTCCACATTCCCTTACAATATTCTAACTTGAAAATAAAAACTCACTGTAGGCAACTAGTGCTTTCAAAGCCCTCCAGTTTTCCTTCCTCTTTGTGCTAATGGCTTTAGGCCACATCTCACTGCAGGAGCAAAGTGTTTAAATCACAACAGGTTTGCACTGACAGTGGCACTCATCCCATCAATATCCTCAGAGAATACTTATACAGGCATAGCTCACAGATACTGTGGGTTCGGTTCCTGATGACCGCCATAAAGTGAATATTGCAATAAAGCAGGTCACATAAATTTTTTGGTTTTCCAGCACATATAAAAGTTATATTTAAACTTTTGCCATCCTCCTGCCTCAGCCTCCTGAGTTGCTAGGACTATAGGCATGGGCCACCACCCCAAGCCAATTTAAAAAAAAAATTTTTTTGTGGAGATGTGGTCTCATTGTATTGCCAGGCTGCACTGAAACTCCTGGCCTCAAGTGATCCTCCAACCTTAGCCTCCCCAAGCACTGGGATTATAAGCTTGAGCCATCACACCCAGCCACAAATGTTCTTAATGGCCTCTAGAATGGTAAATTGTTTCCAGAAGATTTTCAACTTACTTTGACCAGATCCATAGAAGAATCACTATCTACGGCAGCTATAGCTTTACAAAATGTATTTCTTAAATAATAAGACTTGAAAGTTTAAGTGACTCCTTGATCCATGGGCTGCAGAAGGGATGCTGTGTTAACAGGCACGAAAACAACATTCATCTCCATGTACATCTCCATCAGAGCTCTTGGGTGACCAGGTGCCTTGTCGATGAGTAGCAGTAACAATACATTGAAAGGAATCTTTTTTCTTCTGAGGAAGTAGGTCTCAACAAGGGCTTAAAATATTCAGTAAAACATGCTATAAGCAGATGTGCTATCATTCAGGCTTTGTTATTCCATATATAGAGCACAGGCAGAGTAGATTTAGCACCCTCTTTAAGGCCCTAGAATCTTCAGAATAGTCAATGAGCATTGGCTTCAACTTCAAGTCACCAGCTACGTTACCACCTAACAAGAGACTGAGTCTGTCCTTTGAAGTTTTGAAGCCAGGCATTGACTTCTCCTCTCTAGCTAGGAAAGTCCTGGACAACATATTCTTCCAATAGAAGGCTGTTTCATCCGCACTGAAAATCTGTTGTTTAGTATAGCCACATTCATCAATTATCTTAGCTTGATCTCCTGCATACCTTGCTGTAGCTTCTACAATAGTACTTGCTGCTGCATCTTGCACTTTTATGTTATAAAAACAGCTTCTTTCCTTAAACTTCATGAACCAACTTATAGGCCAGCTTCAAACTTTTCTTCTGCAGCTTCCTCACCTCTCAGCCTTCATTCACAGAACTGGGGAGTTAGGGCCTTGCTCTGGATCAGGCTTTGGCTTAAGGAAATGTTGTACCTGGTTTAATCTTCTATCCAGACCAACTTTCTCCACATTAGCAATAAGGATGTTGCACTTTCTTGCCATTCGTGTGCTTACTGGAATAGCCCTTTTAATTTGCCGCCAGAACTCTTCCCTTTGCATTCACAACTTAGTTAACTGTTTGGTTCAAGAGGCCTAGCTTTCAGCCGCTCTCAGCTTTCCACATGCCTTCCTCATTCAGCTTAATCATCTCTAGCTTTTGATTTAAAGTGAGAGATGTGTGACTC
The DNA here is from genome assembly GCF_000001405.40 of Homo sapiens. Classification (NCBI taxonomy): domain Eukaryota; kingdom Metazoa; phylum Chordata; class Mammalia; order Primates; family Hominidae; genus Homo; species Homo sapiens. The sequence goes on from NC_000003.12 coordinate 65,739,616, forward strand.
TTCCTTTCTCTCAAACACTTAAAGAGTCCATTGCAGGGTATTAATTGACTTAATTTCAATACTGTTGTGGCTCACGGAATAGGGAGGCCCCAGGAGAGGGAGAGAGACATGGGAAAGGGGGATCCGTGGAGCAGTCAGAACACACACAACACTTATTAAGTTTGCCATCTTATATGGGTATAGTTTGTGGCACCCTGAAATTACAACAGTAACATCAGAGATAAATGATCACAGATCACCAAGACAGACAGAACAAGGAAAAAGTTTAAATATTGTGAGAATTACCAAAACGTGACTCAAAGACACAAGGTGACCACATGCTGTTGGAAAAATGGCACCAATAGACTTGGGCAATGCAAAGTTGCCACAAACCTTCAAGTTGTAAAAAAAAAAATGCAGTATCTGCAAAGTGCAATAGAGGGACACAATCAAAAGGATGTGCCTGGAATGGCTTTCAAGCACTAGTTTATCTGAAGCCTCTGATAGGAATGTGCATTCAGTATGCATGCGTACTCCCACACACCCTCAAACACACAGAAACATAACAACCCATATTCATTTTTCTGCCAGGAAACACCACAAATCAATTTCCACTAGTGTCTTTTTGGTTTTTAAAACAATTTACTGGACTGATAATGATGCTAATAATATTTTCTGGGCACTGGTCATCGTGTGAGGGACATTACTACATTATCTTAATTTAATGCTCCCACAAATCCTAGGAGGTTAGTATAATTACTATCCCCATTGTACCACTGCAAAAACCAGTGCTTGGAATTGTTAATGAGCTTGCAAAGGTCATACACCCAGTAAACTGAGATATTGGGATCTGAACCTGGAAAGCCCAAATCTGAACCCTTTGTTTCTAACAGCCATGCCTACTTGCCTCTTCCAGGGAAGGTGAACAGGGCAGTGATAAGGGTGTCTGGCTGTAGGGCCACACATTATTTTCACATTTACTGTTAAGGTCTCAGGAAAATCCCAGTGATAGTGGGGAGAAACGATGGAAAACTTAATTACTGTTCATTATTTTGCATCGGTTAAGAAATAATCTACTCTCAACTGTTATCAATAGACATTCTGAAAACTTCAGGAAACCTCTATCTCTATAAAACCACTGCTTTCAGCCACTAAGGTCAGGTCGTGAAAAAATACATATTAAGATTTAAAAATTTAAGGCACATAGTGCTAAGTAAATAAAAATCCACTTGTAAATATGTGACCCCATTTTTGTATGCACACATCCACAAACACTAGAAAATATAAACAAAAATGTTCAGCCATTAACTTTGAGATCACTATTTTTCCTTCTTTATGCTTTTCTATCTTTCCTAAGTATTTCAGATTTACTGTTTTTGTAATGGGGGAAATATGATTCAATGACAGCTTTGGGTGAATAGTGAGAAGAGTTTAATGCCTTTTGGGCTGCTTCTGAAATGCACATTTTGAAGCTCCTTCTATAATCATGTAAACAACATCAAAGACTATGGTTATGACCAGAGAGAACTTGATCAACTGTGGAAACTGCAGTTCCATCAAAATAAAAGAGGTTGCTATTATTGATTTTTTTTTTTTTTTAAATGGAGTCTCACTCTGTCCCCCAGGCTGGAGTGCAGTGGCGCGATCTCGGCTCACTGCAACCTCCGCCTCCCAGGTTCACGCCATTCTCCCACCTCAGCGTCCCAAGTAGCTGGGACTACAGATGCCCGCCACCACGCTTGGCTAATTTTTTGTATTTTTAGTAGAGACAGGGTTTCACCGTGTTAGCCAGGATGGACTCAGTCTCCTGACCTCCTGATCCGCCCGCCTCGGCCTCCCAAAGTGCTGGGATTACAGGCCTGAGCCGCCACGCCTGGCCTATTGCTTTATTTATTAAGCTACAACATTTGATGAGCACATTTGATGAAATAAAAAGTTCTTGTTGTTGGCTCCTGCAGTTGTGTCAATCTTTAAAATTTACAAAAGAACTTAAAAACCTAACAGGGAGTAATTCTATCTTCCTTGAGCTACAATTTGCAGAGTTTTTAAAGAAGCCACGTTGAGAAGACTCATTTTAAACCATGCTTCTGTACTGGGATAAGTTAATGGCTTTAATGCTGAGGAATATACCCTAGGATCACAACATGTCATAGACATCAAAGGATGTGTTTCATTTGTGAATAAAATTTATTATACATCAGCAGAAAGCTTTCAACAAGGAGATCCACACTCTAGAAAATCCACGAACATGGAGACCCAATCCAGGCTGCAGACAGTTAATCCCCACGACCAATTTTAATCACCCATTCATTCAACAAATAACTAATAAGTGTCATGCCCGGAACTAGGTACAGCCTAATGAGGACAGCATAGAGGAGGTGCCACCTTGACAGAGTAGGATGTTTGGAATCCACTGGAATGCAGTCTACAAAATGAATACTACGTGGCTTTCATTGCCCTTGTTCACTCGCATGGGGATATGATATTTAAATATATTTATATCAAAATGCTTAGAATTCTACAATATTTAACACTGTATCAAGTCCAAGAAGAACAAAGGCTGTTCTTCAAAGTTTCCTGTTGTTGCATATCAATAACAAAAACAACAGCAACAGCAGGCCTTACTTTGGAGCACTTTCAATGAATCAGGTTCCCTGCCAAATATTTTACATCATTATTTCATTAATTTTAAGAAAAAAATTCTTAGAACTCCTGCGCCCATGTTTTGAGACAATGAATGCATCTTTTTCCCCATTATGAAAATCCAATATACCCAGAGCCTGCTTCTCATTTTAATGAATACTTTTTTATGTAGAGCAAGTAAGGGCTTCAGAGCCAGACACATCAGAATGTGACTTGGGGCTCCACCATGAATGTTCATATGGGCTTTGGGGCAAGCTCTGTGGTCTCTGAGCCTCTCTGTCCTCATCGCTGAAATAAAGACCCCAGTCGCTTTTCCCAGAATTCTTCAGACGATTAAAGGAGATATTGTGTGTGAGTGAATGTGTCTGTGCATTCCCCAGTGTCTGCTGGGGTGCATGCACAACAGCTGACTTTATTCAAGACGCCACCTACAACCACACTACTTCATGCGCTCTCAACCTTTTACTGAATTCCATTTCCAATGAACTGTCCTAAGACTCATATCTGATTTCCACAGGATTCTGCTGAGCTGGTAACCTTCTCTTTCCCTGCATCTGTGAAAACCTACAGCATTTGTCATACAGTCAATCAGAATGTAGGAAACAGGCTTAAGAAGATGCTGTTAATTGCAGAAACCTGCTGATCAACAATATGTCTGGGAAATGTTTGCAAACAAACCCTGAAACATCTGTCCACATAAAAGTCTGAAAACAGATATGAAAATTAGCTTTTGAAGAAAGGAGTAAATGGGAGACAGGGTTAAATAAACTTCATTCTATCAATTGCTTAAAAAAAAAGAAAGAGACCCTACATGACTTCTCTCTACAAAGACATCTGCATATTTTCCTGGATGCTAGATACGTCTAGGCATACAAAGATGATTCATACCACATCATCTCATTATCACTCTTGAGATCACTTGTTAAAATAAATAATGTATCTTTTTTCCCATGGTGATAATATTCATATTCTAATGTTAAAAGTTCAGTCCTTTCAAAATCCATTCATTTGCTCAACTTTATACCAAGCTTTTACTATGTGCCTGATACTATAAAATCAGGATATAGTCTAGAAGATTCCTAAGTGTTTGTCCACCAAGTTCTTTATATTCCACCATCTTCCTTCTAAATCACCCAAGAAAAATATCTCTGAAGCAGTCCTCATCTCTGCCAGTATTTAAAATATCTAGGCCGGGCGTGGTGGCTCATGTCTGTAATCCCAGAACTCTGGGAGGCCAAGGTGGGCAGATCACCTGAGGTCAGTAGTTCGAGACCAGCCTGGCCAACATGGTGAAATCTCATCTCTAATAAAAATACAAAAAATTAGCCGGGCGTGGTGGCATAGGCCTGTAATCCCAGCTTACTCGGGAGGCTGAGGCAGGAGAATTGCTTGAACCTGGGAGGCAGAGGCTGCAGTGAGCTGAGATTGTGCCACTGCACTCCAGCCTGGGTGACAGAGCAAGACTCCATCTCAAAAAAAAAAAAAGTCTAAAAGAAAAGTCTATTCGTGTCACTAAGGGTTTTGTTAAAGTAATTATTTATTTTTTCTGTCTCTAGGGTATATTTAACACATATTCATTTTTTGTGTTGGTTCTCAAGTCTTGAGTGGAACACATTTTAATATAATAAAATAAAGTCTGGGGAAAATTAATTTACACATAAAGATAATATATACTCACCAAGACACCATGATTATGTGTGGGCTTTGTTATTCTAAAACTTTAAAATAAAAAAAAAAAGTGAGACTTAACATTCCTTCATTAGACTCCTAATAAGGGGATGTATTTGGGTGTTTTGTTTTGTTCTTGGGAATGAAAATTTCAAATTGTTCATTACATTTCAAATCAGTTTTTAGGAAAGGCCAAAAGCTTCATGGGTATCTCCCTAATAGAGAAAAACAGTGAAAGCTAACTTTTAAAATGTGCTTCTAACAGTTTGTTCATGGCCAGGTTTCTTCTAGCTAGTTTTCAGGTTTCAGAACTAAATGCCCCATATCAGAGAATTTTAGGACCAGATGAATAGTATAGAATCTATAGATCACCCAATGTCTCTCAAAATATATCACAGAGAACTGGTTTGCATAGGTTAGACGATGTGACTCCAGATTTTGAACCCCATTACTGGCTTCTACCTCCCTCCGAGGGCCCAAAGTATAACTGGCACATAGCAAATGCTCAGTAAATGTTTGCTGAATAAATGAAATGGGGAAGTCAGCATAACAAGAATAGGCTGAGAAAGATTATAGTGGCACTGTTTTAAATGAATGAGTCTGGTTAGAATGAAATCTTAAGTAGCTGACCAGGCTGATGCAAAGGTTCCAATCGTATGGAAACATGCTTAAGAAAGAAGACTGAATTAAAGAAGATATAGACTGATTTTATAGAAGATATAGACTATATTATACTCTAGGATCCTAATTTCAATGATAAGAAAGACTGTCAGGAAATGTTTTTGTTTTCTGTTTTTTTTAATAAAGGTAAGAAAAAGATGCGAAAGTATTAACAGTGAAATCTCCGAGGGGTGGGATTATGGACAACTTTGTTTTCCCTTTTTAAAAATTACATTAACATATATAAAACGAAATTTGCCATCTTAACCATTCTTAAGTATGTAATTCAGTGGCATTAGTAACATTTACAACATTATACAATTATCACTACTATCTATCTTTTTCATCACCTGGAAGAGAAATTCTTTAACTATAAGGCAATAAATTCCCCATTCTGTCCCTCCCTCCAGCCCTTTGGCAACCTCTAGTCTCCATCCTGTCTCTCTGAATTTGCCCATTCTAGATCTTCCATACAAGCAGAATCATACAGTGTTGGTCCTTTTGCATCTGGCATATTTAACTTAGCATAATGTTTTCAAGGTTTTTCCACAAGTGATTTTTTGGAAAACTATTTTCGCATATTAAATTATTTTTTACAATGGAAATGTTATATACAGGGAACCAGAATGCTTTGTGTCTCAAATAAGGTGTAAGCTACAGAGAAACAGAAGCAGGAAAGAGAAGGTATCTCAAGCAGGAGGAATGAGACAGGCAAAGGGGCACAGGGCAGAGGACAGACAGTGCCCCCAGAATGGCACAGGGAGTGGTGTCAAGGATTAGTGGTCAGTAAGTCAGACTGCACCTCTGAAATCAGCCTAGCAGATAACCAAGATCATCTTGCACAGTTCTTACCACAAGATCCAATCCACTGACAAAAATACAGAGCGTATTACTTACAATTGGAAGCCCTAACTTCGCAGGCAAGCATATTTTGCATGAATTGGCAGGTTACAAATGAACATAAGAAGACAGCATCTGTCAAGTCCCTTAGGAAACCAGGCAGAACCAAATGTAATTCCTTACCTGAAAAACATAAACACATAACACACATTAAAATTCAATAGGCAAATTTTATGCCTTTCTTAGTAATTTAAGACATATGTTTAATCAATTATTTCTTTTTCTCATTGCAAGGTGCCTACGGCAAGTGGATATTGAATTCTCTTTTGTTTTTCCCCCCTTGAGGTAGAGTCTCGCTCTGTGGCCCAGGCTGGAGTACAATGGCACAATCTTGGCTCACTGCAACCTCAGACTCCCAGGCTCATGCAGTCCTCCCACTTTGGCCTCCCAGTAGCTGGGATTACACGTGTGCACTATCATGCCCAGCTAATTTTTTGTATTTTTTATAGAGACAGGGATTTGCCATGTTGCCCAGGCTGGTCTCGAACTCCTGGCCTAAAGTGATCTACCCACCTCAGCTTCCCAAAGTGCTGGGATTGCAGGCATGAGCCACTGCACCTGGCCAGATACTGAATTCTTTTCTTTTTTTAGATGGAGTCTTGCTCTGTCACCCAGGCTGCAGTACAGTGGCACAATCTCAGCTCACTGCAACCTCTGCCTCCCAGGTTCAAGCGATTCTCCTTCCTCAGCCTCCCAACTAGCTGGGACTACAGGCACCTGCCACCACGCCTGGCTAATTTTTGTATTTTTAGTAGAGACAGGGTTTTAATATGTTGGCCAGGCTGGTCTCAAACTCCTGACCTTGTGATCTGCCTGCCTTGGCCTTCCAAAGTGCTGGGATTACAGGTGTGAGCCACCACGTCCAGCCCTGAATTCTTAATTCAATGCATATTTTTCCCTGATTCAAGACTAATTTGATGTAAATGTTTCTATATAGGATGATAAATTCTCCTATATAGGATGATAAATGTTTCTGATGCAAGTATATGGAGTCACTATATCAAACATAACTCAGAAATAACTATATCATTGACAGTATAATTAGTCATTTCCAGGACATAACAATCACATAATCAAATGGACCCTAAAGTCCTACTTGACATCTCATCCAACCCCTGAATTCACCCGTCCTCTTCTTGGGTATCTATCCATTCACTCGGCACATCTAGTGAGCACAAACTACCCTTGCTGATGACATGGAGGGGAAAAGCATGATTCCAGCCATCAAGGGCATTAAAATATAATATAGAAATAAACTATATTCAAGCCTCTTCCCTCTTCACTGGTGAATATCTGGAAAATAATTATATTACTTTGTACTGCTTCTGCCTAGTCAATCACTGACTCAGTAAGTATATTCAGAGCATTTCTCTGGGCTAGGAATACATAATACAGCAGCAAACAGAGCCCCATCTCTGGCCTTGGGGAACTTACAGTCTAGTAGCAAATACACATATTTTAGTACAAGCACATGTAATGGGAAGGCCAAACAGGGTGATCTAGTCTGGGCTAATGGAAGACGCCTTGATGAGGCACATTTAGAGTGAGATCTAAGCCAGGCGTGGTGGCCAATGTCTGACATTCCAGCTATTCAGGAGGCTGAGGCAGGACGAATGTGTGAGGCCAGGAAGTCAAAGCCAGCCTGAGCAACAAAGTAAGACCGTGTCTCAGTCACCTAAAGGATGAATAAGAGTTAAAGGAAAGCATCATTTAGGTGTATGAAAGTGGTTCTCAAACTGTGTTTAGGGGACCCTCTGAGGAGTCTTAACACTTTTTCAGGAGATACATAAGCTCAAAACCATTACTTAATCATGCAAAGATGTACATGCCCTTTTCACTCTCATCTTACAGTTATGTTTTCCAGAGGCTACAGGCCTGAAGGCAGAAGCAGCAATGAGAACCCAGCTGCCCTACATTAAACCAGACTGCCCAGAGATGGCCAAACATCTAACAAAATTCCACTCTTCTCACTAAATATTTAGTTCTAGAAACTATTTCTTTAAAAAATATTACTTATGTTAATACATAATAGGGATATTATTGTAATTTTTTTAAATGAATTAATACACATTTGTAATTTCTCAATTTCCATTTCTAAAAAGGTAAATATGCAGGGAATAAAAGCTCTTTGGTGTCCTCGAGTATATTTAAGAGTCCAGAGGGGTGAACTGTGGACTTCAGTTAAGTGATGTGTTGATATAGATTCATCAATGGTAACAAATGTCCCACAATAATGCAAGATGTTAAGAAGAGAAACTGCGGGAGAGGAGGAGAAGGCGTCCATGGAGACTCTACTTTCTGCGCCATCTTCCTGCTAAACCTAAAACTGCTCTAAAAAATAAGGTCTATTTAAGGGGGAAAAAAAGAGTCTAAAAGAATGTCAAGACCAAAAAGTTTGAGAACCACTGGCCTACAGAAAGGCAGAAGCAAAGCCAGCGGGCGAGGCAGGGGTGGTGGGCAGAGAAGCCAGTGAGCCAAATGCTGGGAAACCAAGACTCGGGGTGCCAGTAATTAGGACCAGAATGTGGCTCTAAACACAGTTTTTAAAAAGATATTGCTTCACAGCATTCCTGCCAGAAACAGGACTCCTCCTCTCTCCGAAACTGATGATAGCTAAGAGGGACAAGGAAAACCTAAGAGTCTCAGAGGCAGTCAGGCTCCAAGCATGGGCCAGGGTGCTCCTTAGTAGCCAAATTTAGACATGAAGATTTTTCAAGTTTGCTCTTATTTTATTCCTAAAGGAATTAAGGTGTAGTTGTTATTTTAATATCTATTAGGTAACAAAAACTGCCCTCAAAGAGTTGCTGAGAACAGTGACATTAAGCAGGCCCCATGCCCACTTTCTTGTGTGTCAAGTAGAACACTAAAACTGTGAGCCACAGGAATATTCTGATTCTCAAGTTCAAGTCTTTTGGGGATGATTAATGCAAAGCCCAGGGTAGGATATGGGCCTTTAGATGTTCTGGCTCTGCTCTAAGTTAAGATTTTCTAAAACTGAGCAGGAACCCCCAGAGAGTCCAGAATAGAAGGAAAGTTATGTATCTATTCAAAGGATAAGAATTTGCAGCTGCCGCTTTGTATTGCAACACAGTGAGGGGCAGGCTAGGTTCACCTGTCCTTCCATTGTTTCAGCTGATACTTATTAAACACCTACTGTGTGCCACATCTGATGTCAAGGAGCTGGTGACCAAGTTGTAGGAAGAGATTTAAAAAACAGGCCACATTTATACAGCTTGACACATGTAATAAGAGAGATAAAGAAAGGATGCTATGGGCCCCCAAAAAGAAGGACATGAGAGGCATGACCTCCTGGGGGAGTTATTGTCAAAATCAAGGCCTGGTGGGGGATTGATGTTTGGCCAGGTTAGTAAACAGTGGGGTATACAGCACTTAAGACTGGTGAAATGACACGGACAAAAGGGCAGAAACAACACAGGATCCCAAAGCAGCCCTGGGAAGGGGGATAACATTGGAGGCAGGAGAGTAATAGGGGTGGCAATGGTGATCCAGATGGTATCCTCAAACAGGCCAGCGGCAGTAGGGGTGGACAGTAGATGTGTTAAAACTGACAGAGCTCAGGCACTACTATAAATGGAGGTATAGGAGGAATAAGAGGAACACAGCACAGCCATCCAATTCTCTACAGTGGGAGAGTTGATGGGCTTCCAAGACTTCATCATGTTAAGATGCAAGGCACTCAGTGGTAGCCAGCAAACCTCAGAGATCATGATAGTGAAGGTTAAATGAAGAGAGTGCCCAATGTCTGTAAGTGCATGATGCAATTCATAAGAGCTGTTGTTACTGTTACCATAGCTATCCTTATAACTGAGCATCCATCAAATAAGGTGAAGGTGATGTGATTCTATGTAAAACATGACCAAAATCAGTTGCAAAACTGTTCTGTGGCAACCTGGATGAGATGGGAGGCTATTATTCTAAGTGAAGTGACTCAGGAATGGAAAACCAAACATCATACGTTCTCACTCATAAGTGGGAGCTAAGCTATGAGGATGCAAAGGTATAAGAATGACACAATGGACTTTGGGGACTCAAGGGGAAAGGATGGGAAGCGGATGAGGGATAAAAGACTACAAACTGGGTCCAGTGTATACTGCTTGCATGATGGGTGCACCAAAATCTCAGAAATCACCACTAAAAAACCTACTCATGTAACCAAATACCATCTGTTCCCCCAAAAACCTATGGGAATAAAATAAATATATAAAACCAGGTCTAGTCTGAGTTAAAAAAAAAAAAAAAAAACTGCTGTGGGCCAATCATTCGTTATGCAAATGAGGTTGAGGGTTATAGCCAGTAGAAATGATACGCTGAATCAAATGCTGACCAAGCAAACAAAAGTGGAGGCCTCAAGATATGTTCTGGAATCCTTATTTTTAAAAAGAGGTTTTGTTTGGCCTTCCCAAGCAAGATCCAGATGATACAGAGCTTACTTTTTCCACCTACTCCATAATGCAGGGGGAAGCATTTAAACTCAAAATGATGGTGCAATGAGAGATGGGGTCAGGAAGGCTGCAGCACAACAAACGAGGAAAACCCAAACTCCTGGTGGCCAAGGCTCTGGTTAAGGGCAGGCAGAGCAGAAAGGGGTTCCTGAGGGTGCTGAGGCTGGGACACATTCTGCAAATTAAAACCAAATGGCATAAATCCACTGGCAAACACCAAAACAAGATGGTCCCGTAATTGGCAAAATAATAGTTTGGGACCCCAAAGCAACCATCCTATAATTCTGGTCACTGTGCTGATGGAGGGCAGGAACAGAAATCTGGAGAACCTAAAAGGAGTTACATATGTGATGAGGAGGTTGGGAAAACGGGCTTTTTAAAAAGGGAACAAGTACCAGGGATTTATACGTACAGTGGTGAGAAAGGGATCTTTAATGATGCTTCTCAAGTAGAAATGCATCTCCCTCTAAGAAAAAATCTACCATTACAATCAAATTAACAAGCTAGATGAACTGTAGAATGAGTTCACAAAGTTTACAAAATACCTAACAATATAGTTACTCTAAATAGTGATTTGATTTGTTTAACAAATACTGGTTCACACACATTTTAGAAACATATGCAATGTAATTAGTGACTATGGGAATCAAAACTCTGAGAAGTCAAATTTTGCTGTGTAAATCAGAAGTTCTCCAAAGCAGTCAACGAATAGCCTACATTTCCCTCACCTGAGGTAAAATGCTTACTTTGGAGTCCAATCCCAAATCTATAACATTAGAATCTCGGGTTTCATGAATGTGTATTTTTTACAAGTTCCCCGCAAGGTATTTTACATACGCTGAAAGTTGAAAGCCACCAAGGGAGAGCAAGTAGACCTTGTAGGAAGGGCTCTTACATATTAACTCTTCTCAATCAACATACGAAACATAGTACTACTTGAAATTTTTGCAGGAAAAGAAAGAATATTACAGTGCTAGGTGTCATGAGACATTAAAGTAAGTTACCAAAGTGGCTTGAAACCTTTCTTTATATAAGATGCACCAGGCAAGTGATTCAACTTCTCTGAACCTGTTTCCTCATCTTTAAAATGGGGATTAAAAACAGTTTCAGAAATTTGTGATGAGGGTTGACCCAGCTAATGTGTTTATTGTGTGCACACGTGCCTGGCACTGGGAAACAGCTTGGTGAGTATAAGCTATAATTATTTGGGGGAAACATCTGATTAAAACCCTAAAACTAGTCCTGCATTCAAAAGATGAGAAAGGTATCGATCCCATTTCTGCCCTTACTCTAGCTCAGAGACCTGAAATAAATGTAAAGATCCTTCAGCTGGAGGCTTCTCATGAAGAAAGAAATTGTCCTGCCCCCTGCTGGGCAATGGTGCACTGACAGAAAGAGCCTGAGAAATGTTCCCGGCATCACAGCCAGGCTGGAGCATTCCCATTGTGTGGCAGGGTCAGCTTCAAAGAGCACACAGTGTCTCTCCCTTTGTCTACTTTTGATGTCTCTTTTCAATCTAACATTATGATGTTGCATTGACCTTCGGAGAAAAGGGCACTGTTCTACACGGTTCTGATAAGCCGCTTTCTAAAAAACACTTCCTGGATGCTAGCAGTATGGACTTCTTACCAAGAGGACAAGACAATAATCTTGTCATTTAATAGAGGCCTTAGGAAAGAGAGAGATGACAAAGGCAGTTTCCAAATGTCACTGAAGAATGGTCTTTGCAAGTATCACTGAGTCAAATGTGGGCAGTGTGTATGTAAGGATGTATGTGTGCAGATTTACATATGCATGTGCATTCCATATATATGTGCTCTCTCTGAAGAAAATATATTAAAACTCTACATTCAATTTTATAGTTTAAAAGATATACAATATTTAGAGTCAAAAGACTTGATCTCCATCCAATTTTAAAAAATTTCCTTCTTTATTCTATTCTTTTACAAACAGAATTTCTTATGGAAGAACTTTTTAAAAAGCTACTTATCCTTAAAGATATCGTCTGATTTTTTCGTTTGTTTGTTTTTTGGAAACGGGGTCTTGCTATGGCACCCACGCTGGAGTGCAGTGGCACAATCTCAGCTCACTGCAGCCTTGACTTCCCAGGCTCAAGCCATCATCCCGCCTCAGCCCCTCCAAGTAGCTGGGACTACAGGCGCAACTCACAAGGCCTGGCTAAATTTTTTTTTGTATTTTTTGTACAAACAGGGTTTCACCATGTTGTCCAGGCTGGTTGCAAACTCCTGCACTCAAGCAACGTGCCCTCCTTGGCCTCCCAAAGTGCTGGGATTACAAGAGTGACCCACTGCAAAGATACTTAGAAGTAGCTTTAAGATCAGATTCAAAACTCAGCCTCTGTTGTTTACTTTAATATGGTGTTAGGTAAGTAACTTAGCCTCTCTAAGGTTTAATTTTCTTCTATAAGATGAGGAAATGCCTACTTAGGTTTGGTGTGAGGAATAAATAAAATAATGCATGGGAAAGTGCTTTATAATTGGTAACCAATCAAATCAATGTAATTTAATGTCAAAATTAATGACATAATTAATCCAAAATGGTTGTTCTCCACAAAACGTTAAAAATAATCTTGTAAAATTACATCTATAATCTCAGAGGTATAATTTCTAAGCATACAGAAGCAAGCTACTAAGGTTATGGTGTCATGCAGGCATGTATTTTTGGTTGAGGACAAGGCCTTGATGTGTGTTCACAAAGACTCTCTACTTGATCAAACTTTAGTCTGGTTCCTATGAGCCCTCTTTTTGGACTAGGCCTCAACCTTAACCCCTGTCCTGTCTTTGGCTGGCCAGCCCAGTCTTAGCAAAGAATCCTACTCAGTCATATCCCACCCCGACTTCAATCCTTGACATCTTATCATCTTGGCCTGCTTTCAGCAAGAATCCTGTTAGGTCAGTGCAGCCAAAATCTTTCTACCTCTGATATCTCCTCTTAGTCATTTTCCACCCACTGACCTCCCCTCACACCCTCCCTTGCTCATTAGCTATAAATCCCACTTGTCCTGGCTGTATTCAAAGTTGAGCCTGATCTCCCTCCTCTACTGTAATACCCCTATTACAGCAGTCCTCAGTAAAGTCTTCCTGACCATTTTGACAAGTGTCAGAATGATTTTTTTCCTCAACAATGTCTAAAAGAGAAATAGGGAAAGAAGGAGGAACTTACGTCATAGTGCAACACCAAAGATGGCAGAGACCGAGATGAGAAAATCTGGGAAGATCTGTATATCCTGAACTGAAACTGAGTGCCCGAGAACCACAGGGATGCATTGCAAATACACACACTCAGCTCACTTTGTGAGACCTAAACTGTCCAGGCTCGTCAGAATTTGTGGTATTATAGACACTCTGCCATCATCAACCCAATGAGAAAGCTGAGAAAAACACCAATACGAAGCACTCTCCTGCATATTATCTCACTGAATCTTCACCAAAAACACCTATGAACTGAGTATGGTTATTATCTCCATTTTATTGGTAAAGAAACTAAGAGTTAAAAAAGCAATCTGTCACGCCTGTAATCCCAGCATTTTGGGAGGCCGAGGCGGGAGGATCACCTGAGGTTCAGGAGTTCGAGACCAGCCTGACCAACACAGTGAAACCCCATCTCTACTAAAAATACAAAATCAGCCAGTCGTGGTGGCACATGCCTGTAATCCCAGCTACTCGGGAGGCTGAGGCAGCAGAATCACTTGAGCTCGGGAGGCAGAGGTTCCAGTGAGCCAAGATCGCACCACCACAAACTCCATCTCAAAAAAAAAAAAAAAAAAGTAATCTGTACCCATGTTATGTAGCTGGCAAGTGAAAGAGTCTAGACTCAACCCCAGGCAAGTTGATTCCAAAGCCCATTCTTTTAATCACCACACAAAACTGCCTCCCAGGAAGTAATATCCAGGAGAAAGAAAAGTAAAGTTGAAATTCTAGGAAAAGCAGAAGGGCCCAGAAGGAGCGAACCACCTAACTTTCGGATCATAGGCATGGGAAAGGACCACACAGCTGCAGGTATAGACTGTAGAGAATGTCTGACTGAACACAGTGTGTAAAGAATGAATAACTTATTGTGCCCTCTGCATTAGTTATAATTATACAAAATCTTTCTCATTGATCTTAGGGATTCCCAAAGAACTTTCTTCAATTCCCCATCCTCATTTTCTGTTTGCTTGAAATCTATCACATGATAGATATTGCTAAAATATAGTGACTTTTTACCAATGATTTTAAAGGATAAAAGCAAAATCCACAATTCCTTCTTATCACTGAGAGACAGAATTTTGATTACCGCAACAAAGAATCAAGCAAATATGCCACGATCTGATGTAAAAACAATGGCACATTTACGATTAATTTCCATCCTCATTCAAGTGATGTAGGAAAAAAATAATGAGCTAATTACTGAAGAAAGGAAAAAATAACTATCTAAAACATCTATCAAGGACTTATAGGGCACAGGAAAATTCATTCCTGTGCTCATTTTATGCTCACTCACTTGTTTTGGTCCCCAGATTTCTGTGTGTAATATCACTTTTCAAGATCAAGAAAGTTATTCCATAAGCCTTTGAAACAAGTATCTTATTAGATGTATTTCATGATTCACTTTCTGATGTTGAGCCTGCCTTTTTATCACTGCCACTTTCAAAGGCAATGTCTTAAGGAAAATAGTTTCGTGTACACTGGGTTTTCCCCTTAAAGGCAGTGCTAGTTTTAGGCAGCTAAAAGAACCAAAGCTTTGGAGAAGGCCCACTGGGTTTTCAAATAGTTTATTCTCACTATTTCAAACCAAATATGCCAAGTTACAAATGAACATATGGCAACATCTTAGCCAACCAGTTTGGATTACTGTCCAAATCGGAGACTAAATCTTGGAGATTAAACTTAATTTGGAGTAAGTATCAGCTAGTTTTCTATGTTTAAAAGGAAGTTATCTTTCATACAAAGAGAGGTGAGGAAGGGGCTGGCCAATTAAATAACTGTTACACCACAAATAGTATATTTATTTATTTATTATTTTTTAAATTTTTTTTTTTTTGAGATGGAATCTCACTCTGTCACCAAGGCTGGAGTGCAGTGGTGTGATCTTGGCTCACTGCAACCTCCATGTCCTGGGTTCCAGCAATTCTCCTATCTCCCTAGTAGCTGGGATTACAGGCGCGTGCCACGAGGCCCAGCTAATTTTTGTACTTTTAGTAGAGATAGGGTTTTACCATGTTGGCCAGGCTGGTCTCAAACTGCTGACCTCAGGTGATCTGCCCGCCCCAGCCTCCCAAAGTGCTGGGATTACAGGTGTGAGCCACCGCGCTCGGCCACAAATAGTACATTTGCATTATATCAGCTAATGTTTACAATTCACCCAAGGAGGTAGTTATTTCTGACAATCAAAGAGAAAAAGCTTAGAAAGCTTAAGTCATTCAGACATGTTCAGGGTCATATCTGATATGATCCAACCCATACTCTTTGCTCTATACCTTTGGTCTCTGATATCAGAATATTCACTCAAGCATGTGAAAGTGTATCTGAATTAAAAATCACTATTTTGTATAGAGTACTTCGGGGGCAAGGGAACAGTGGGGGTGGTAATTAGAATTCATTTCTTCTAGACAGTCTGTGATAGGATTCAGCATCAAGTGGTAGGAATTTACACATAGGCATATAAAATGAATAAGTCTTCTAAGAAAATGTAAATGAGACCCAAGGTTACAACTATATATGTTTATGGCCTTCAGGAAGGTTAGCATAATGCTGTAGTATTTTCTCATGTGAATAATGAAACTAACTTACCCACAATTGAGTAAGCCTAAAAAAAATTCAGGCAACAGCTATTCTGCAAAGTTACCATTATTATTAAAATAAAATCTTATTAACCTCATGCCAACTCATTTCAGATAGTTCTAATTTAAGAAAACTGTTACCCTGCAGGCAACCTTATGCATTATCATGCTGCAATATAAACACTGAATAATCTAAACCTAGATAAATCAAAATCTGTCATTTCTGATCACTTACATTTCAAATTCATAGTCTTAACCATTTCTTACTTCTAGATAAGCTCTCCCCTTAAGTCTTTAAAATAATTTCAACTTTCACAATGAAAGATTCCAAAGATTTTCTATAACTGGGAACAACTACACAATGTTCGTGAAGTTAAAAATTATCGTGTCGGGGCTTATAGACTTCTCTCTTTTCCAACTTAGTTCGCTCTGTAATTGATCCCCTCTTACAGAGAAGAAAAGGGACAATTTGATGTAGTTTTCCACTTAGTGGATCCCTGAGAAAAAAATAAAGAGTTAGAGACTAAACTCTTCTAAAGATGGCCAGTGGGGAAAAAAATTGTGTGCATTTTTACACAGCATAAATAAGTTAAATGGTGGTGCATGTCGGTGTGGATGAGAACAATGTTCTCACAAGTGATGGGGATCTAAAGAAAAGAGAAGCTGCAAGATTTCGGTAAAAGTTGCATGTACTAGTAAATTTAGAACACTTTAAATAGCTCATAAAAACATGAGCAAAGGTCATACTTCTCATGGGGACCCTGCTTATTTAAATAAAACCCTGCCCTAAGACAGAACAGGAGCATGGCTTTATAAATGATATATGTTCATCCCAGCGTCTGGCTCCTGGTGTCAGCAGAGGTCTCTACTGTAACAAGTCTTTCATAAGCATCTCTGTACATCCTGAGATATGTCCTTTGCCAACTGTACACACTCTGAAGTGCATTATGGTGCCACAGTCTCTTCCTGTAAACTACCTTTATGAAAAATTACAGTCATATTTCCAGATGACATATTCGGAAGTCATCAGGAGACAGTCTTACCTTCAATACAGAGTGTTCAGAGAATAGAGTTAAAATGAAAGCTATACAGCCTCAACTAAAACAACAGAATACCCACATACACAAACACACCATCATACAAGGAAGACACTTTATTACCTATCCCTGATGAAAAACAGAATTCCTCTGGTAATGAACTTACATCTGAACCCATACACGGAATGCCAAATTTGAAAGTATTTTAGTTAAAGAAAATAACTCAAATACCATACTGAAATAATTCTTTTCAGACACTTAAGAAAACATACTGCAGAATCTCATAATCTATCACAGCTTTGGGTTGCTACCTCCTTGCCGGGAGGTTTATAAAATCACTCAAGAGCCCTTCTCAAATTATGTAGCTTTCCATTTGCTACTTTTTAACAGTAACTTGGAGAGAAAAATATATTTGATTGTCTATGTTAACTCTTTTAATTTTCACTGAGTTTGAGGGCACAAGAAGCACTGACTTATAACCATTCCAGAGGACCAAAACTGGAGGCCAGGGACCTTCTATAGAAAAGAGGTTTTCTGAAATTTTACAATAAACTCCATTGTAGCTATATAACCAGTGGTCACATTTTTCAAAAATGTACCATAAATTAAATTTCTGGCCGGGTATGGTGGCTCACGCCTGTAATCCCAACACATTGGGAGGCTGAGGCAAGTGGATCACCTGATGTTCAAGACCAGCCTGGCCAACATGGCGAAATCCCATCTCTACTAAAAATACAAAAATTAGCTGGGCACGGTGGTGCACACCTGTAATCCCAGCTACTTGGGAGGCTAAGGCAGGAGAATTGCTTGAACCCAGGAGGCAGAGGTTGCAGTGAGCCAAGATCACACCATTGCACTCCAGCCTGGGCAACAGAGCCAGACTTCATCTCAATAAATTATTAATTTCTATAAATAGAACCATACCCTCCTAATGACTTAAACCATCTTCTCAGAAGTGTTTCAGTTTATGCAGGAACTATTAACTGCTTCAACTTTTAGGTTTGTCAGCCACATGATTTAAAGAAAGAAATCCTAAAATAAATTATTTGAGAAATTAAGTACTCATTTCTGCTTTCTCTGGTTTATAAAGTTAAGACATTCATTGGTTTAGAAAGCAAGACAAACTTCAATTTTAACTAAATGTATCACCCAATTTCCCTTAAACAATAGAGACACATAATCTTCTCTAGAGAGATACTTTAGAGCATTTCTTCTCTTTCCAGAAACTTCCTTCAGGAAAAACTGGCTTGAGAGACCCATTTCTGTGATGTCACAGCATCTTACACACACAGAGCTCTAAGGCACCTCAAATCCTAGGGTCAAATTAACTGGGTTCTAACCAAAACAACAACAACACTCGCTGACTTCAAAGGTCTGTTGACTCGAGGAGATAAATCTCCCAGTCCTAGTTGGTTCTTTTCAGAGAGGTGCAGAAAAGACCCCCTAGAATGGAGCTGTTGAGCCAATCACCTTTCCACAGCAAGACATAAAGCGGAGCATCTGGGGAGAGAAATAAAGCTTACAAACAAAACTCGGGGAAAGGAGAAAGAGAAAGGTCATTCGTCCTTTTCAAAGATGCTTACTTACACTGTTGATTTTATTATATTCAAAACTACCCAAATATCAGACATCCAGTCTGACTGCTCTTTTCTTTTAATCACTTGGAGCTCATTTCTGAAAATAGCACTCTGGTCCTCAGTGAGCCAGATTTTGCAAACTGCCCATACATTCCCGTTATCACATTTTACCCAGTCTGCAGCATATTCATAATATGTTAAGTAAATTAATTTCCAATATATATTCCCAAAGCAGCGGTTCTCAACTGGGGGGGAATATCATGCCCCAGGAGACATCTGGCAACGTCTGGAGACATTATTGGTTGTCACAAATGGAGGATGCTACTGGCATCTAGTGGGTAGAGACCAGGGATACTGCTAAATACCCTACAATGCACAGGACAGCCCCTACAACAAGAAGTATTCGGCCTCAAATATGGCAAGGTTGAGAAACTGTGAGAAATCAATTAATAATATTTTTGTTGCCTTCATTCAATGAGGGCAGTGTTTCTCAAAAACGTAAACTTTCTGACTCCAAACTCTTTACTGACTCCAACAAACACCTCCAAGAATTCTGAAAAATAGGCAAATGTTTACTTAGTCCCCACATTTTAAAAATAAGATACTCAAGGAACATATATGCTGGTGAATGTTAGAATTCAAATGTTAAATCCATCTAATCCTTGCAAGCTTTCTCATATATGATCTCATACATATTTTCTTTACCACAGCCCCAGAAAGGAGAACTGTTAGGCCCAGTGCAAAAAAAAAAAAAAAAAAAAAAAAAAAAAATGGAAAGTGAAACTGAAGGAAGTCAAAAGCAACTTATCTAGTGTCTCCCGATGGGTTAGCAGGAGAGCAAGGAATCGGATCAAGTCCCTAATTTTAGTGTTGTTCTTCTCAATACATGATGCCCTCCTCTAGGACAGTTTTTAAAATATTGAACTGAGCTGCTAAAATTGTAACCATCTCATCCAATGCCATATATTCATGGATGTCATTTAACCCGCCTAAGTGCCAGTCTCCTTATCTATAAAATGGGGATGTGTTGTGAGGAATAGAGGAGATAATGTTCCTTACATCTGTGCTTAGCACAAAAGAAGCACTCAACTAGAAAAGGCAGCTGCTCTTGTTATTCTTATTACTGGGATCTCAGGACAATGTGTGTCATTATACCAGAACAGTATTTAAGCAAGCAACCAAAAGGTTGGGATAGAAAACCCAACATACAAAAAAAGCATCTACTGCAAAATACTATCTATCTCAGCCAGCAGCAGTGGGTGGGGGGTAGAAGAGGCTGATTTCAAGTTATATGGAGCACAAGACCGAACAAACAGAAGTCTTGAACATTTACTTGCATTTATTTCCTTTTCTGTTATTAAAGGCATAAAAGAAAGGTCTTCATTTCAACGTCATGGGGCAATGCTGGGACTAACAAGTTTGTGCTTGAATGTGAGATGTGTTCCAGTAAAACTGATAGAGTCTATACCTCCTTATTTAAAGAGGTAGTGAAGAGGTGAGAAAGATTCAAAAGGGGGCCCATTTTTATTTGAGTGATATAGCACTGAAATTAAGATTCGGGGCTCTAGAATTAGCCTGGATTCAAATTTTGGCTCTAGTGTGTAACTAGCCCTGACTATTAGAAAGCTACACAACCTTTCTAACCTTCACTTTCCTGAGCAAAAATTGGAGAGCACGAAAGTATTTCCTTCATGTAATAGAATTGTGTTGGAAGTCAAATGGTATAATGCAGGTCAAACTCTCAACATAGGGTCTGGAATACTGCACATGGAAAATAAATGCTAACCACTGTTACTATGATTGTTGTCATCATTGTCTTCAACTTCCTCCTCCTCCTCCTCCTCCTCCTCCTCCCCGTCCTCCTTTATAATGTCCAGCTCTATGTCTAGCTCACAGGAGGTTCACAATAAATGTCTGCTGATTAATAATTGTTTATGACACACTAGATACTGCTCTAAGAGGCAGTTACTACTATTATTCTCTTTTTAAAAGGAAGAAACTGGGGACCAGAAAGGATAAGAAACTTGCCCAAGGTCACACGGCAAGGAAGTAACAGAGCGGTAATTTTTTTTTTTTTTTTAAGAGATGGGGTCTTGTTCTGTCACCCAGGCTGGAGTGCAGTGGCACACTCATAGCTCACAGCATCCTAAAACTCCTAGGCTCAAGCGACAGGAACACAGGAATATAGAAGATAGGAATAGATAGCAACATAAGACAGGAATACAGGCACACACCACTACGCCCAACTAATTGTTTTATTTGTTGTAAAGACGGGGTCTCCCTATGTTGCCCAGTCTGGTCTCAAACTCCTAGCCTCAAGTGATCCTCTTCCTTTGGTCCTCAAAGAGGTAGGGTTACAGGCACGAGCCACTGGCCCAGCCTAGAGTTATAATTTGAGCCCAGATGGTCAGGCCGCAAAGCCTCTGTCCCTAGCTACCACACAACACTGCCTTATGATAGAAGAAGAGTGAAAAACAGGGTTTAAGGAAGTTCTCATCAACATAAAATCTCAACAGATGAGACCCATCTGAGAAGGAGGGAAAGAAACCACACTCCTGAGATGGCCAGTCAGAGGGAGGCTTCGTAGAAACACTTCTTTGAAACAAGGGGTAGAGGTAGGCAGGAAAGAGTCTTTGCATGCAATGAGCTTGTTTGCCATTTTAAACATATGTAGCGCCCATAGACGGATAGGTACCCTGAAGACAGAATCAGAGATCCCAAACACTGAAGTTACGCAGATATCTGAGGATGAAAGAAGGGGACCCTTCCACAGGATAGATGCAGCTGAACAACTTATGTGATCTGGAATCTTCAAGTCCTCTTGACTTTCACCAGGCACATTCAATTTCCAGAGCGCCCTGGGATGTACTAGGCAAAAGATGGTATGTTTTAGGGAAAACAGCTCTCAGACATCCCAACTTAACATCCATACACATTTGCCACCTGATTGTGAACTAAATTACAGGGTAATAATTATCAGATACGAGATTAAAATGGAAGATTCTTGTCCTGCCCAACTAAAGAGGACAAATGGAGTCAAATGAAGAATACTGTTAGACATTTTTATAAAGGATAAATTATATTTCCAATAGACCTAGTACCAGTCTTGTCAAGTAAGGACTCTTCAGAACTGCAGCAAAATGCTAAATTCCAACAACGTTAAGCCATTTCCTACAGTAATTACATGAGGTTTCATTTCTAACCTCTCCAAACGCTTTTATGTCTGTCTCTTTTCTAGTGGCAAACGCAGGGAGGTTAAGAGGAGCAAGCCATTTTGTTTCAAGCCAGCCACAAACCAAATGCACAATGCCACAAAAGAAGTCTTTATTCCATCAGCCAGCGGGTTCCTCATTAACCAGCCGAGAATGAACCTAGAATGCACAATTTCGTGTTAATCACAGAAAACAGATGCCCATGATGGCTGCAGGTAAAACTGATTGTTTTTGCCTCTCAGTACCACTCACTAGGGAATGTGATCTGTTTCATCTCCACCCTCCCTTCAAGGATTGCTGAGCTCCCAAGTGCTTGTGAAAACACGTCAGGTGTGGGGATGGTACTGTGAGAAATGAAAAATGGTCCTGACAAGATGAAAAGCTGCATTTTCCATCTTGTTCTTAAATGGGCTTAAATAGACACAAAATGGGGACTGCTTAACCCTTCCATATCCACACCTCAATAGAGCAGACTGGAGTAAGAGCCTAAAAAGTTTTCAGGAGGTCAGCAGGGTGGGGGTGGGAACTGCCTCATTTTTTCTTTATGGTAACTCACTATCCAGGGCTCACAATACCCCAGAATGGCTGCATTTCACTAGGTATAAGCCACTTCCAGCACCCAGCGCCTGCCAGGAGGGCAGTCTATGAACAATCACAGCTCAAGTGGTTCCTTTCCCCCTCCAACGAGAATCACAAATGCCTCCTGAAGTGGGTCCCACTAACAGTTCAGCTCCTTGAACACCCATTTCTTCCTTCTCAGATTTTGAAAGTCTAAATAGTTGGTTAGTGATGATAAAGGAGATACATGTAGCAGAGGCGACTTGCAAGGCATTAATTCATTCTCCGAACACCAGCCTCTCCTACGAATCTCATTACTGCACAGCAGGTGGACAAGTGAAGTACAAAGAATGGGAAGGCGGAAAAAAAAAACAGGAAGAAAAAACACACAGATCTCCAAAGGATGCCATCATTATTTTACATTATAATGATCCCAAGAAAAGGGTGAACTACTCATTGTTCATTTGTTCATTCACTGGAGAATCATAAGCAGGGCCCAGGGAAACAAAAATGCTATCAGTAACAATAATTACTTTGTTTCTATTTGTTTCTTTAGTTATATAACATGGGTGTGTTATTATAGGTTAGGCACTCTGCTAAGTCCTCTACATGATTTTCTCATTGAATTCTTACACCACCCACTGACATAGGTATTACTGTTTTTCCTGTTCTACAGATGAGGAAACTGAGGTCCTCAGAAATTGAGTATCTCAAAAGGTCACACAGCTAGTAAGTGGCTCAGATAGGACTGAAACTCTGGTCTGCACAGTAATTCATACAAGCGTCACTCTACCACTTCCAGAATGTGGTCTAAATGCAGGCACAACTTTATATACAAGGATATTCATTGCAACATAATCTGGAACCAATAATGGAAACAACACCTGTTTCCCAAAGTAGGGATGGTACATTTTTTGAACCATCACTACTACTTTGGGGAACAGCCATTCAAGGGGATATCTGCAGTGCAAGAGGCTCTCTGACCCCACTCTTTTCCTTCCTGAAAGCAGTGATAAAACCCCCATGTGCAAGTATCCTCCCTATACTAGTAGGAAAGTCACATTCGTATCATCAAGGATGGGAAGCTGAGACCAAGAGAGTTCTGTATAAACAGACCTTGTTAAAATAATTCTTACCTTCCTTCATTCTCCCTACATAATTCAGTTACTTTTCCAGAATTGCCTCTCTGTGTTCAACCAAATATAAAAGTATCTAGGTTTTGCCACTTCCTTAGATCTATATTTCCATATAAGGGTTCCCATGTCACAAAAGACTTATATTACATAAATTTGTAAGCTTTTCTCCTGTGACTCTCACAGTGCTTTAATTCTCAGGCCTGGCTGAAAAAAACTAGGAAGGTGAAGGTAAAAGTTTGCCTATCCTACAATAACAACATTTACATAGCACACATCACTTATCAAGCACTTTTTCTATAGTAACTCATTTAATCCTCAAAACAACCCCAGAAAACTGAGGCATAAAGAAAAAAAATAATGTTCCCAAGTCACAAAGCTGCTAAGCACAAGGGCTGGATTCCAACCCAGACTGTCTGAATGGGATATCTGTGCGCATAAGCATTTCCCTACACTAATGGTAACAAAATAGCACAGTCTTCTAGGTGGAAGCATAGGCATATTTCATATCGCACAAGTGCTTTTAAAAAAAAAAAAGAAATAAATAAAAGAAAATCCTGAGGCCAGGCACAGTGGCTCATATCTGTAATCCCAGCACTTTGGGAGGCTGAGGCGGGAGGATCACTTGAGCACAGGAGTTCAAGACCAGCCTGGGCAACATGGAGAAACCCCATCTCTACAAATAAATAAAAAAATTAGCCAGGTGTGGTCGCTGGCACCTTTAGTGCCAGCTACTGGGGAGGCTGAGGTGAGAGGATCACTTTACCCTCGGAGGTGGAGGTTGCAGTGAGCCAAGACCATACCTCTGCACTCCAGCATGGATGACAGAACAAGACCCTGTCTCAAAAGAAAAAAAGAAAAAAAAAAAAAAAACCTTGTTGTTCAAAAGAATTATAGTTTGGGTATTAACATGGTCTATGGTCTTCCGTTTCCTTTTATGATCAACATGAAATCCTTAAATACAGTAATAAAAATTTCTAGTTCCACACCCACCCACCCACCATAAAAAAGAATGTAGACGTGAAAATGGCATGATACTTAATGATCAAGAGATTCTCAGGTAAAAATGTAAAGCAAGCCAGCATGATATTACTTATGGTTGTGATTCATTCTCTATGCTTCTCCCACTCCTGTCCACTCCCCTCTCCCCCACTATTCAAAAAGGAAAGGAAAAGCTGGATGTCTAGCTCTGACATTGCAAGGGTTGCTGATATTCTATTTTACTATGTTTGCTATGTTTTCAAAAGAACCAACATTTTAGAAGAAAAGGAACATCAGTTTATTTAATTTGGTTCTTCACTTTTTACTCTAAATCAAAGTTCAATTTACCTTAAAGTTTTAAAAAAGGCTGACAGCTGAGGCCTTTTGGAAAGATCACCTCACTCTACAGAATGCTTAGGGGAAAAATTCATCAAAAGCAGACAGCAGACATCTACCATCCACCATAAATCAGCTTCCTTTTTCTTTTTCTTTTTTTTTCTTTAAGCATCTTCTTTAGAATACAGTGAGAAAGTCGTGTCATTTAACTTGGCTTTTTGAAAGGAATTTCAGAAATTATTTTAGTTTCTGGAATAAGCATAGGCGTAAACACACAGATTCAGTATATGCCTGAAGCTTGTTGATTTCTCCTAGATATTTAAAAACAGAACCGCTTGTTTTGTCCTTTTTCACTTGGCTCACAAAGTGACATGGCAACAGACTATGTACTAATTTTCTGGGGTTTCAGCACTGAACCAAGAAGATGGCAGAAAAATGGATACAATCATTAAAGAAATTATAGGAACTAAATTAAGTCAACCTAACAGTGAGGCTGATTTTCATAAAGGGCCTGTGTCCCCAAGGTAAGGAATGCATCCTTCCCATCATGGAAGTCAATGGATGGCACCTAACATGGTGTCCTCAGTGCTACAGAATTTATCTAACATTATCTGACTTGCCTGTTCCCATTAAAAGTATAACATATGTGATCAACTGTTGTAGAATAAAAACATTTGGCAAAGACAATGAATCCTACTTATAGGTCTGGTTTTGGGAATGAACCTTTACCAAAGGAGGGGAAAGGCTACTGATCCCATGATCCCATAACAGGATTGCCACTAAGCACTTTTTTATTTGAGGTAAGGCCAAGCATTTGGTTGTGGCACTGGCGGGACAACTATAAAGAAACCAATGTTCCACTGCTTATTAAGCTCCAGAGTCTCATTAATGCCCTTTACAAACTTAGGAGAGGTGTACTACTCTACCTTACATAATAAAGAAAATTGAATTTTAAAACATTGAAGTCATTTATCCAAAGTCGTTTAGCTAGAGAGTTGGAAGAGTCAGGATTCGGGCCCAGGACAACCTAATACCAGATACATGAGGCTGTGGTGCCTTTCCTCTAACCTTAAGTTGCTTTGAGAAGTTTGAGCTCCTGCTCTTTAGAAATATTCAACCAGAGGCTGTATGGCCTTTTGGAATTAATTTTGTAAAGAACTTAATCACTGGCTGGGGAATGCTAGTGATTCCTTCCCCATGAAATCTACTGATATTTCCATTATATGAGTCAATGGACAGTCTTCAACATGGGTTGCCATTTTCGGATTTCTCTGTCTTTCTCAATCTTGCTTCTAAGCAAGGCAATGATTCTTCCTATACAAAAGTCACTTTCTGCAATATCTGCCTAAATTTTTAAAACATTTGTGAACCCTGGTAGTGTCACCAAAACATCTGCTGACCTAACTAAATAATTTCATCTGATCATCCCAGCCTCGGTCCCATCTGTGGCTTTCTTCTCCCTGCTTATTAAGTTGAGATGAGTAGGCAGGACTAAAGTATCCCTAACATTTTCCTGCTTGTTTATTTAACAGCTATGGATATTTACATTTGCCTTCCTAACATATTTGGTATTAATTAAAACTCACAGATTTAGCACAGCTCTTTCTATATATAAGGCACAAGTCAACAAACTAATCTTCAAAAAAACTTCATTTGGGTAAAGTGGGGGATACCTTCTTCAACTCAGAAATCGGGAGTTTAATAAGCTAAGGCTACATTCAATGTAGTATGTTATATAGAACAAGGGAGAAGGAGTCCCAATTCCTGGCCTGGTGGACAACAGCTAGAATATACCCAAGCTATTGTGATTCTTTCCGGGTACCATATTTTAGGAGGAACATAAACTAGATTGTTTCCAAAGAGGATGTGGATAATAGAAATTCGAAACTACGTTGCAAGGGATTGTACAGCTATTCTCCATGTTGGTCAGGCTGGTCTCAAACTCTTGACCTCAGGTGATCCGCTTGCTTAGGCCTCCGAAAGTGCTGGGATTACAGGCATGAGCCACGGCCCTTGGCCGCAAGAATTATCTTAATCACAGTCATTATTATAACAGAATAAGAGGCTGGGTGCGGTGGCTCACGCCTGTAATCCCAACACTTTGGGAGGTCAAGGCAGGTAGATCACTTGAGGTCATGAGTTTGAGACTAGCCTGGCCAATCTGGTGAAACCCTGTCTCTACTAAAAATAAAAAATTAGCCAGGTGTGATGGCAGGCACCTGTAATCTCAGCTACTCAGGAGGCTGAGGCAGGAGAATCGCTTAAACCTGGGAGGCAGAGGTTGCAGTGAGCCGAGATCACACCACCGCACTCCAGCCTGGGTGACAGAGCGAGACTCCATCTCAAATAGTAATAATAACAACAGAATAAGAGAAAGCACACTAGCCTGAGGATAAAAGATGCTTGGGTTCTAGTCCGAATTTGGTTGGTAACAAACTACCGTCTTGGGCAGGTCATATTGCCCTCTCTGAGTTTCCATTTCTCTCTCTTTTTTCTTACATAAGTGCATGGTCTAGATTAGGTAGCAGGAATGACAGAATCATGACACGCAAAATCAATCTGCACACATGTTCTGTCTGGCTAGCATGAACTCTCCAGATCATCAAGTCTGCCTCTCTATTTATCAATAATCACCTATTCACACATTTAACTTACCTGCCTGACCCAAGCAAGAGTGTTATCCCCCAAGTTCTATTATATTTCTTACAGATCTAAAATTATATATAGTATCTCTTTCTGACTCACCCACAGTTTAGTTTTTTTTTTAATAAAGACTTTAGGCCAGGGCAGTGGCTCATGCCTGTAATCCCAGCACTTTGGGAGGCCACATTAGGTAGATCATTAGAGGCCAGGAGTTCGAGACCAGCCTGGCCAACATGGTGAAATCTCGTTTCTACTAAAAACACAGAAAAGAAAAAAGAAAAATAAATAAATAAATAAAGACTTTACTCAAAGCATTTTCAAAATTCCTGTCATCCTAAATTGGAGAATAGTTTTATAGTATTTAGAAAGCTCAAAGACATTCATCCTT